>NC_000011.10:30363030-30514545 GCF_000001405.40 Homo sapiens
AAGAATTCATAATAACATGAGAAAATGCTTACATAGAAATGTTAAATTTTAAAAATTGTTTTCAAAAGTATGTAAGCAGTATGACCATTAAATAACTGACAAAAATTATGCATATAAAATAAATGAAACAGAAATACATTAAAATATTAATAGTATGGTAGCACTAAGGTTGGTTAATTTCTTTCTTTTATTTTTCAGTACAGTACTTCCAAAACAATAATATAATAATAATGTAAAAAATATAGCAACAATGTATTCATTTTATACAGGAGAAAATATCATTTAAGAGATCGGGGTTTTTTCTCTTAAAAAAACGTATTTTTGTTTTAGTCTCTCTAAAACAAAAAGACTGGACCTGATGGAGTTCGAGGTTACAGTGCGCTATGATCACACCATTGCACTGCAGCCTGGGCAATCTTGGATGAGGCTTTGATAGCTAGTGTCATAACTTTTGTGGGCTGAGCCTCAAGTTTTGTTGAGATAAGAGCGTCTGGAAAGTGGGTGAAGGATGAGAACCAAGGACTGGGCAACAGAGCAAAACCCCTGTCTGTGAAAAAAAGAATAGTAAATACAGCAACTGTGGTGGTGGATTTGCCTCTTATATGGATTAATTAACTGTTTATTTCATGTTTATTATTCCTCCTAAGTAACTGTCTTTGTTACAGGAAGCGAGAAATGCTTAGTTATGTAGTAGTAGCTGGAACTAGCTCCATCTTTGCCAGTTTATAGCTATCAAAAACATGTTACTCACTCATCTTAAGTGTTATCCTAATATTTGAAAAAGGTTTGATTCTATTAGGGCAAAGAATTCTCACACTTACAACCAGGACTGCCATCAATGCAGTTGGGGTTTGGGACGCAGAGGGACACGTGAAAGGTGGGTGCCATGGTCAACCTCCTTCACATGGGCATCCAAAACAGGGAGCCACAAGTCTAGGACTAAGAGTCCTAGACTCTTAGGGCTCTGGATTCCAACAGGCCTTGGATCGAGTCACAGCTGCACACCCACCACCATGTCTTTGAGTGAAATCTTAACCCCTTTGTGTCCTCTCTGAACTCAAAGTCCATGTTTAAAACTGCTGTGAAATGTTGTTAATGCTTGCAAGACTCCTTGCTCTTTGCACACTGTGACCTGGGACCATTCACTTGCAGGAACCTGCCCCCACAACTAGCCAAGTCCTTGGTTCTCATCCTTCACCCACTTTCCAGACGCTTTTATCTCAACAAAACTTGAGGCTTAGCCCACAAAAGTTATGACACTAGCTATCAAAGCCTCATCCAAGATGTTCTATCTTTGGACTTGGTTTTAAATTAAACCTGCCTTCACCCTCTGGACTAATAGAGATAAGGTTGGCTTTCCGGTCAGCCGTGGACTGCAGGCTAGAATGAGGAAGGACCACAAAAAGCAGCTGCAGAGACAGCATCTTCACTCATTCAGACACTATTTGGGCAATGAAAGAACAGAGAACTCGGTTATTTAATTAACCCTCCGAGTCTCTGGAATGTAAACATTTTCTTTTGTAAAGCTCTGAGACCTCTCTTGTTTCCAACCAGCAGGCCTTTATTTCTGCCTCTCCTTCTGTTTCTCTGCTCTTGACCCTCTTGTAATACATTGTTGGATGACTTGTTTGCACAGAGGGACAGGCTTATTTCCCACCCCCCTCCCAAATTCTTGAGGCATTAGAAATTTTCTCCCTTATCAATTTTCCACGGACTGGCCCTCTATTCCCTAATGGTGCTGGATTGGCACACACCACAGACACCGGCTCTGAAACAAAAGAAAAAGCAAGAAGATAGAGATGCACACAGCCAGCCTCCCTGTCTATTCCCAGTGTGTCCCACTGACAATGCTGTGTGGAAGGGAAATTGTTCTATCAGCGACTGTGTTAGATTCATGACCCCACCACAACCTTGAATTGGCCTTTAGTTGTCGCTGATGGGAACTGAAGAACAGCGCCTGTCGACATGATTGCTACTCTCCAATGAATCAGAACATACAGGGCGAGGAGCAGCACATTAAAGTAGCAACAGAAATATATCACTGTACTTTTATATAGATGTATTGCTTTTGCCCAGGCATATAAATGATTGGGCCAGCCACTTAATTTTTTTCAGGGACTATAAATTAAAAATAAGCTAAGGGTTTTAAAATTATGTTCTTTTTTAAAAACCAAGGTAGCTATTTTAAGGCAACAGTCAAATATTTAAAGATCATCTTATGTGGATATTTCAGCGACTGTCATTGGGAGGAAAATCAGCCCTTGCCGCCTGCACTCCGGTTACTTAACACATGGGCGCTGATTTATCATGGGTTGTCATTTGCTAATTGATCTTTTTTTAAAAGTAAATGTTCCCCATGTTTACTTCTCTGCCTGCTTACTGAAGAAAGTATAGTTCACAGATTTAAGTTGTGATTTAAATAGACAGCAAACATATTTACCAGCCTAGAGCAAGATGCTGGAAGAGTCAAGGTGTTCAGAGAAAGCTGAGAGCAGGGATCAATGATTCTGAAATTGGGAGGTGATAGGGCCCCATTGAGAATAGGCTGGAGCTCATGGAACCTCTCTCCAGGAGCACACGTGAATGCTTGCACTTCACAGCAAAATTTTTCCTTTTGCTTCAAGGACTCACAAACTCTCTGAAGCCCCTCCCTGGAGCCCCTGTTTTTGAGGTTATCTTGTAAAACTATAAATTTGTGACACACTGGGATGCGGTGATCAGCTGTGATGTATGTCTCAAGTAACTGCTTACTAATAACAGGTCAAATATAGCTGTTTGCAAATGATTTGCTTTTAGAAGTATACACATCTGAGAAGATTCAAAGGTTTACCAATAACAGCATTACTCTCACGTAGTCACCATAGCCAATAAGACCTACATGATCTAGCCCCTGCCTATCTCCCTGATATTACCTCTCACCACTTTTCTCCTCACTCTACAAGATTCAGTCACATGGCCTCCTTTCTGATTTTCAGCCCACTGAGTTACTTCCTGCCTTGGGGTATCTGCAGTGCTGGGCAATGTTCTAGGCACAGACCGAACAAGACCACAAGATCTGTCTTTTGTGGATCTTACATTCTGTGGAGGGAAACAGCCAATAGGCATATGATCAAATCCCTAAGTTTGATCATTTCAAGTGTTTTGAAGCAATTAAAATGGAATGAGGAGGGGCTAGAGTGTGACCGATGCATGGCCAGGTAAGGCCTCTTTGGAGAGATTGTAGCTGAGATTTTAACTGAGATGGAGAAGTGAGAAATAGCTGCAAGTCAAAGGGAAATATTTGTGGGCAAATCCAGTAGTAAGTGCAAATACCCTGAGGCTAGAAAGAACTTGGTGGGTTGAAAGGTCATCAAGTAGGTCATTTGACATCTGATATGCTCTCTCAGGGAGAAAATTAAATTATCCATGCTGCTGCCCAAATGATTGATATGCTATGAGCAGTGATGGTGACTACAAATTAAGTGTTTTTTTCTCTGCAATAATTTTGACTTTTTGTCAAATACTTGATATGCAAATTGAAGTCATTTAAGACCTAATTAGAGATGGGGGGAGCAGGAAGTCCAGAGAGGTAAGGTAGTTTACCCAAGGTCACACAGCTTTGTTATTAAATTAGTTTAGTGGACAGACCAAAGGAAAGCCCTGGCCTCTGCATTTGCAGGGTGGTATCCTTGCAACACTTTGCCTCCCTATTATTTTCATGTAATTTAACAAAGATCATTTTGTCTTGAAAACTAGTCTGGTGTCTGGTTCCATATGCTGTTATGGTCCAGAGACACACTATCATTACACGGTTTTCAGCTTTTACAAAGTTTTGTTAAATATCTAGCTCAGGATTCCTGATTTCTCCAGAGGTTGATGAAGCCAGTGGTGAGCTAAAAATCTCTCACCTCTAAAGAAAACCAAGTATCACTGTCTCCTCTGGGCTGAACATTGAGATCTGTGAGACTCTAATAAGTTCTGGGTCCTTACCTGCCTCTGGTGGAGCCTGTGGTTAGGACAGATAGACTCCTAGCTTTGTATGCCTATGTCAAGAAGGCTAACATTGGCACCCCCCATACCACTTTCCATGCGTCCCAGTGGCCCCCAAACAACAAGTGAATTGATAGCAGTCTTGATTTTAACTAAGTGTAGGAAGTCTTTGATCTGATGGAACCAATGTTTCTAAAATATTAGAAAAAAAATTGGAGACGAGTGAGTGAAATATTTTCAGTAGCTGTAAATTGGCAAAGACTGAGCTAATTCCAGCCACCAATACATAGCTAATCAACACTGTACTAGAACTGAACACTGTTGTTAAAAAATTCCAAGAAAGAGTGTGGCCCAGATTGATATCAAAATACCCTTTTAGTTAAAAAGTTTAGAAAAATGAACTCAGCCACTTCTGCACTACCTCTGACAAAATCTATATTCACAGTCCTCTCTTTCGACATCTGAAATCTATCTTCTCTCCAGCTAGTTTCTCTCTCTTTTCTTATACTGCTGGTGAGAATATAAATTAGTCATTCCTTCAGGAGTACAATTTGGCTAGTGGGTGTCAAGAAACTCTACAAACTGTGTAGTCATTGACTCAACAATTATATTTTTGAGATTTGATCATAAGGAAACAGAGATACTTGTAAGTTTTATACTGCAAGATTTATATGGCAAGATAGTCACAACAGTATTATATATGATAGTGAAATATTGCAAATTATCAAAAAGAGATTGGAATCTCCCAAAATGTGTTCTGCAGAAACAAATTTCATAAGATGCTCCCCCCCCAACACACACACACAGGACTGTGTGATCAAATAAATTTAGGACATACATACTATATATTTTGAGAAATCACAAGGCATATTAGCAAGAATCCTCTCAGAATTCTTACAAAAAAAGAAATCTATTATGTGACCTCATTTAACTCAGAGCTTCTCAAATTCCTTTGGTCACTGAATCCCTTTATTACATAATACTTCTTAATATACTACAGAAAAGAGGCTCTGCAATATATACTTCAGGAAATACTGAGTTAAATAAATTTACATATCTGCTTTCAGCTTTTGTCTCGAAGGAGGCCAAGGTGTAACTTTCTTCGGTCGTCCTGAATCCAGGTTCATCTGACACCAGCGGCCTCCACCATGCCACCGAAGTTCAACCCCAGCAAGATTAAAGTCGTATGCCTGACGTGCACCAGGGATAAATGTGGTGCCATGTCTGGGCTGACACTCAAGATTGGCCATCCTGGGTCTGTGTCCAAAAAAACTTGGTAATGACATTGCCAAGGCAATCGGTGACTGGAAGGATCTGAGGATTACAGTGAAACTGACCATTCGGTACAGACAGACCCAGAATGAGGTGGTACCTTCTGCCACGGCCATGATCATAAAAGTCCTCAAGGAACCACCAAGAGATAGAAAAAAACAGAAAAGCACTAAACACAGTGGAAATATCACTTTTGATGAGATTGTCCACATTGCTGGACAGATGTGGCACTGATCTTTCGCCAGATAACTCTCTGGAACCATTAAAGAGATCCTGGGGACTGTCGAGTCTATGGGCTGTGATATTGATGGCCACCACCCTCATGACGTCATAGATGATGTCAACAGTGGTGCGGTGGAATACCAAGCTAGTTAAGAAGCACAAAGAAAAATATTTCAATAAAGGATCATTTCACAATTAAAATAAAAAAATAAATAAATTTACATATCTGTATATGGAATGCTTTGCTGCTGTTTAAAACAATATTAAAGAATTTTGATTCTATGGGATAAATGCTGGTGATATTAAGTGGGGAAAAAAGCAGGTTACATACGAATGAATATTTTATTAGCATAATTTTGGAAACTAATGTATGTGTGATTATGTCAAAATAAGAACAGATTTGATCTTGTGGTGACGGCATTAGTGATGTTTGTTTTTAAAAAATTGTGCTTCTAAATTTTCCCAATTTGCTATAATTAATAAGCATTACTTTTATAAGGAAACATACTATATATTTTAAACTTTTTATCTTAAAATAATTTTAGAGTTGCAGAAAAGGTAAACAAAATAGTAGTTTTCATATGCATTTTCCTCAGCTTCCCCTTGTATTAACATCTTGCAAAACCACAGTACAATTATTGAAAGCAAGTAATTAGCATTTTATATGGTTTGACTGTGTCCCCACCCAAATCTCATATTGAATTGTAGTTCCCATAATCCACACATGCTGTGGGAGGGAGCCAGTGGGAAGTGATTGGATTATGGAGGCAGTTTCCCCCATGCTGTTCTCATGGTAGTGAGTGAGTTCTCATTAAATCTGATGGTTTTATAAGTGTCTGGCATTTCCCTTGCTTGTACTTCTGCTTCCTGCTGCCTTGTGAAGAAGATCCCTTTCTTCCCCTTTGCCTTCCACCATGATTGTAAGTTTCCTGAGGTCTCCCCAGCCATGCTGAACTGTGAGTTAATTAAACCTCTTTCCTTTATAAATTGCCCAGCCTCAGGTATTTCCTTATAGCAATGTGAGAATGGACTAATACAGCATTGATGGGATATTCATTTGAATTTCACCAATTCTCCCACTAATGTCTTTTTTTCTGGTTCAGGATCCAGTCCAGTGTCCCACATTGTACTTAGTCATGTCTCCTTAGTCTCCTACAGTCTGTGGCAGTTTCTGTTTTTCATTTTCTTTAATGGCCTAGACACTTTTTAAAGAGTTCTGGCTAGTTATTTGTAGAATGTTCCTCAATTTGAATTTGTCTGATATGTTCTCAGGTTAGATTCAGGCATTTTTGACATTTTGGGGAAAATGTCAAGAAGTCACGGTGTGTTTTTCTAGGTGCATCATATCTGGACTACATGATGTCAATATATTTCATTACTGGTCTTATTAACTTTGATCACTTAATAAATGTCCCATGGGAAGATATTTTGAAGCTATTCCTGTTTCTCATCACACTTTTTGTAGCCTACTAATTTTGGTATCCATTAATAATTCTTGTCTGCCAAAGTTATCACTGTTCTATTTTCCTAATGGTGGTTTTCTATTTTCATCATTCTTTCCACATTGATCTATTGGACATCTACTGTAAGGAATATTTATTTATTCAAATATTTTATGTAGGTGTGAACTAATGGTTGTTTATTTTATTCATGAGTTTTGATTTTTTTACTTAAACCATCCCAGATTTGGCCATCAGAACCCCTTCAGATTCATTCTTGCTTGTAACATGTCCCCATCCTTTTTTTGAGCACTTCTTTCCTTTCTGGCACACAAGATATTATAAGTCATCTTGTACTTTCCCTTTCTCAGCCCTGTAATCAAATATTTATCCAGGGAGTTCTGGTTCCTTTTATTGGAAAAACCAATATCTAGGCACTAAGTGTGCTCTTTGCTACTAGGGTATCATTGTTCTAGGCCTTCTCAGTGGACAGGGCTAGAAAATAGACAATGTGTACTCACACACATTCACACGGAAGCATCTTTGTTTTTATGTTTTTTTAATATATTTTATCTCTTTATTTTATATCTATTTTTATAGATTTTTATACTATCTATTATATATCTCTATAAATCCATCTTTTATCTATCTGTCAGTGTTTTTCAGAGAAACAATCAATAGGAAATATGTATCTATATATATAGAATCAGCAACAAAGATATATCTATATATAGAATCAGTAGGAATTATATATTTATATATAGATATAAATAATATATAGATATAGATAATATATACAATCTATTATAATATATAATCTATATAACTACATATATCTATGTATATAGATATATATTATATATAGATATCTATATCTATATAGATATAGATAATTTTGTGAGCCAATTCCTTATAACATATATATATATATAATATAATAAACCTCTCTCTATATCTATAGATATAGAGAGAGATTTATTATATGGAATCGGCTCACACAATTTATGGAGACTAAGAAGTTCTACAACCTGTTGTCTGTAGGAAAGCCAGTGGTGTAGTTCTAATCTGAGTCCCAAAGCCTAAGAGCCAGGAGAACCGATGATATAAGTCCAAGTGCAAGGGAAGACTGATATCCTGGTCAGGGAAAGAGAGATAATTCTCTCTTCTGTTACCATTTGGTCTATTCAAGCCTCCAAAAGATTCAGTGAGGCCCACCTACACTGGGGAGTGCAATCTGTGTTACTTAGTGCACCAATTCAAATGTTAATGTCATCCAGAAACACTTACAAATGTATGCTAAATAATTTTTAATCAAATATCTGGGCACCCTGTGGCCCTGTCAAGCCAACACATAAAATTAACCATTATTCTATCTATCTGTCTATCTATCTATCTATCATCTATCTATCTATCTATCTATCTGTCTATCTATCTATCTATCTAATTTGTCTACGTGATCTATCTAGAACCATGATTTTATGCTGATCCCTCTAATTTCAATTAAACTACAATGTTCATTCTAGCCTTTTCCATTGTCTTACTTGTAACCATTTCTCTGATAGTGAGGGACCTGGTATTCATTATCCACAATATATTTGCTTATTTGTTCAATCCTGGAGCATACATGAAGTGTTTCAGGATTGCTAGCCTTTACCTCTGTGGAAAAAAACAAAAACAAAAAACTTAATTTGCCAACTTGAATACAATTTTTTTGTAGAATTCGTTTCATTTTTAGCCTAATAATACACAGTCAAAATATTGTTTGACAAAGTTACTTAGGTTAGTTCTTTTCTTCTCCTTTCCTTTGGTGTAATTATATTATTAATTTGTCATATATTGGGATCATGTTTATTGTTTGTATTTCATTGGGAATCTCCTCACATCTTGGTTGATTTTAACTTTTTAAATTTGTTCTGGGGATATGCTAAATATACTAAGAGTCAGAGCTAGACACTAAAAATGATATACTCAGAGAAGAGTCATTTTCCATCATCTTTGCTACCCCATACCCAGTGCCCCATTCTTTCCACCCTGTTCCCACCCAGCACCTTTCAGTAACTATTGCCGGTAGTGTCTAGTTTATCCTTCCTGTATTTCTTTTTCACAACTTAGCAGATCCCAATATATTTTCTGATATCTCTGTCTTTCTTACATGAAGGTTAGCATGCTATAAATACACTTTATGCTTTGTTTTTTTGATGTAACAGGATATATAAAAATCAACTGTTTTTTTACAGTTACATGGTACTCTACTGAGTGAATGAGCCATAGTTTATTCAACCAAAACCACTCTCCTATCTGACCATTTTCCTTCCTAATATTTTGCAATTACAACCAATGCTGAAATGAATAACCTTTCATGTATGTATTTCCATAGTACTGAACATATATTTTCAGTGTAGGTTCCTAGAACTGGAATTCCTGGGTCAAAAGTAAGTGTGTATGTAGTTTTGTCAAGCATTGCCAAATTATCACCAAGGATGGTTGTGCCAGTTTGCATCCTCATCAGCAGTGCAGAAGAATGCTTGTTTCTCTACAGTCTTGCCAACAGAATATATTGTCTGCTTGTTAATTTTCACCAATATAATAGGTGAGAAAAGTTACGTAAGTTAAGTATTGGTTTAATTTGCATTTATCTAATAATGATTGGTGATCTGAACTTTTTTTGTATATCTAAGGGCTATTTTCTATATTTTTGTGTGAACTGTCTGTTCATGTCTTTTTTTTTTTTCATTTTCTTAGCATGCTTTTGGTCCTTTAACCCTCAATTTTCAAGAGTTCTTTATGTAGTAAGTAGATCAATTTTTGTCTGTGTTATATGTCACAAATATTTCACCCCTAGTTTTGGTTATCTTTTGGTCTTTTTAATATGGTGTTTGTTGTCCTGCAAACTTTTTCTCTATTTTTATGTGATCAAATTGATTAAACTTTTCTTTTGCCTATAAATTTTATGTATATTTTTAAACATGTGCCTGTTCCATCCCTGAAAGTCTTAGGCATTACTGCAGCACAAAAGAGAGGAAGAGCTTACTCTAGGAGATTTTAAACCAGAGAGAGTAGGGAAGTCGAAAACCCCAGGGCTCTGAAGTCAGGTGGATTCCATTCCCACCTACTTTCAGTGACTTCTATTGAGCTGTGGGACCTCTGGCGAAGTATTTAACCTCCCGGAGCCTGGTTTTTCTCATTTGTAAAATGAGATGATAGAACCTACCTTGCACTGCTATGAGGATTTGAAATGCTTGTTTCAATACATGGCACTAAGGAGACATGTTATTATTATTATTATATTCATAATACATCAAATGCCAAGTAATATTTTAATGAAAACCTTGATAGGTGTCTGATTTTTTTTTCTCAACATTGTCTCATCAAGGCACCACCACTTCCATAAGAACAATGAATCTGAGAGATTTTCACCCATTCACCACAATTGTTCTTTTTTCTCTCTGAAATACTTTGTCTTTTGAAATACTATCATGTCTCTGTTCTATAATGAATTCAGAGAAAAGTTATGAGGATAAAGGAGTTAACATCCATAACGCACGCTGAGCTGGCAGATAAGAGCATCAAAATGAGTTCCAGAAAGAATTCTAATTAACTAAATTTATTATCACCTTATCTCTCCAAAGCCCCTTCTTGCCCCCAACCTCAAGTTGAAAGTTTTGTGGTCATTCCCCAAAGGACACATACTCCTTCGAACCAGGAATCAGCTGGCACTGGTTATTGTCGGTACCACAAAAGTACTCACTAGAATTCCTGTTGCCAAATGTGTTCTTCCTTTAACAGGCAATTCCTTTTCAGTTTCCCTGTGAAACTAAACAGAAGCCCATAGGGAAGTCTGATGTCACCTTTGATGTCAATACCATTCAAAGCAAACACAACCAAGACTATTTCCTTAATCTTTGGCAGCTACTTCTTCTAAATTATTTGAACATGATGAAGTTCCCATCTACCAATAAGTTAATCAGGTGGGTGTGTACCTTGATAGAGTACAGATGTCTTGCAGGACAGAAAGAATATCTAAGGGTCCATGGATAGGAATATATATATTTTTTATATAGTTAACTGACGTTTGTTTTTCTCATTGCTTTATCCCCAGTGGAGTGATTTGGAAATAGTTGTTTTTCTACCTTTTGCAATTCCTCAGAGCTTCAGGGCACATGCAAACGGATGGGGAGGGAAAAGACAGGAAGGGAAAAAGGAAAAGCAGCTAATTTGGATTGCAATTCTGTAATCTATGCGCTACACTAGCTACTTAGAGACTGCATTATTATTATTATTATTATTGACATAGTCTTCCTCTGTCACACAGGCTGGGGTGCAGTGGCATGATCACAGTTCAGGGTAATCTTGAAATCCTGGGCTCCAGTGATCCTCCCACCTCAGCCTCCCGAGGAGCTGGGACTACAGGTACATGCACTACCAAGCCCGGCTAATTTTTAAATTTTTTGTAGAGATGGGGATCTCTCCATTTCCCCAGGGTGGTCCCAAACTCCTGGCCTCAAGTGATCCTCCTGCCTCAGCCTCCCAAAGTGTTGAGATTACAGGCCTGAACCCCAGAGCTTTATTATTTTAGTGGCTCTCAGTCAAGGGGATGCCACCTCCAAATGGCATTTTGAAAATTTGTGGAACCACTTTTTTGTTGTGATAAAAATGGAAGAGTACTGCTGCCATTTATGGGGTGGTGTATTATATAATAAAAATAAATATTTTGCTTTTTGTCCCCTTTTCTGGCACATAGCTTCTAAAACTCAGTCTCCTGAGTGATAATTATCTTTTGTATGCTAATGAGATATTTCTTGGGGTGAAGAGCCAGAGCTAGATAGCTTCAGGATGGGAGCTGGTCACCACAAAGACAAAACCATGATTAGAGGGCTGGAACTTTCAGCTTACTCCCAACCTGCTGCACCAGCCCTCTCTAACCTCTGGGAAAGAGAGAGAAACTAAGAGATTTGAGTTCAATCACCAATAGTCAGTGATTTAATCAATCATGTCTACGTTATAAAACCTCCAAGGAAGTCTGAACAACAGGGTTTGGAGAGCTTCCTGGTTGGTGGACACATCAATGTGCCAGGAGGGAGGTGTGCCAGGCCAGAGAGAGCATGAAAGCTCTGCCCCTCCCTCTCTCCCACCCCAAACCTTGCCCTACACATCTCTTCCATTTGGCTGTTTCTGAATGTATCCTTTATAATAAACTTGTAATAGGAAGTATAGTACTTTCCTGACTTCTACAAGTTGTTCTAGTGAATTTTGAAGGGTGGAAACCCCTCTATTTGTAGTTGGTTGAACAGACGTCTGGGTAGCTCGGGCACCCCATTTGCAGCTGGCATCTGAAGTGGGACAATTTTGTGGGACTAAGTCCTTAACCTGTGGCATCTGCACTAATTCCAGACAGTGTCAGAATTGAATTGAATTGTTGGACACCCAGCTGGTGTTGGAAAAAACTATACAAGTGGGAACCAAAAATGCATTATGCTCTATAACCTGCAATGCCTGGAACAGCTCTGCATGAGGAAGAATTATCCTGCATACTACATGAATTTCAAAGGGCCCACTGGAACAGCTTTGGAGGTAAAAACTTGTTTGCGACTATCTAGGCCTAGAACCTGCGTTCATTTTACTTACGAAGTATTTTTTGCATAGTTTTTACATTCACAGTTTTTACATACATATAACTTTCTAGGAATGCAACTATGATGTAAGCTGAAGGAAGACCGCACTTTATTTTGTGCTCTGTGATACTTGAGTGTTAATACTACATACCTGTGCTGGTCTGCATTTGTACCTGTCACATATATGGTGAAAAATGTAGGTGCAAAATCACATCACTTAGTTATATCATCTAGTGTAGTTGTGCCTCAGCATTTAAACTTTATTTCATTATAAATTTCTTTTATATCTTTATGTCACATGTGGGCATTATATGGATTTTTTATTATGTGTGTATGTAGGTTACATAATTTATGAATTTTCTGTCAAGATAGCAAAGGAGGTATTTGCAAAATATTTGCAATAAAATTATTACAGCATCTGTTCCAAAAGGGTTGAGACTCACTGTATTCTTTCATCAACTGAACACAACAATTTTGAGAAGATCTCTTATTAGCCCCATCTTGTAGGTGCAGGAACTCTAGCTCAAATGGTTAACTCTCTTGCCCAAAGCCACACAGCCAGTAAGTGGCAAAGCCAGGAGTCAAACTCTTTCTGTTTCCAAAGCCCTGAACTTGGTGAAAACAAGAGGACAAAAGACAGAGGGATGAATTAAGGCATAAGGATAGAGGAAGAAAGAGGAGAAAGGGAAAAAAGAGGAACAGTATGAGAACAGGAAAAAGATACAAATCAATTTTTGTTTCAATTTTTAAACTCTATAGAGTACTTTAAATATATTAAAAAGCTCTCATTAATAATGTTGTATGATGCCTGCTATATACAGGGTATATTAATGCTGAGGATAGAAAAATAATTTTTTAAGAATATGACAAAATCCTATCCCTGAGAAATCGGAAGCTGAGTTGGGACGGTAGAATACATTCTTTTTAAAATAAATAAATGAATACACAATATCAGCCAAGATACATTACGTGCAAAAGGAGAGAGGTAACATCATCTATTCATCTAAATGTATCTAGTTTCTAGATAGCCTTTCCCTTCTCATGCCATAGACAAGAAACAGGGAGCTAAATGGTTATGTGCTCAATGGAAATGTTATGTGACTAGCACATACATTTTTCCCTCCTAAGTAATATTGATTCCTGAAACCATGGTTGATTCTGGCTTTATAAGACACAATTTAACACCAGTTTTTCCATTCCACAGTTAAAGCCTTGAGGATGCAAGGACTTTTACTGGAAGAAAATACAACAGCCCCAAAAGTGCGGATCAGTCAATTTGCCAGTAAATGCATATCGTGTTTTGTGCCATGTCCAAATGTTGTAGCTATTACAGGGCACGTGACTGGCTTACTTCCTGATCCTATGCAAAGCTACTGGTTTTCTCACTCCTCACTAGTCCCTAGAACTTATTGTAAGGGGAACTGGAATCTCTTTGTCCAAGTGGGTTTTTTTTGTTTGTTTGTTTCAAGGACTCACAGGCAGAGGCAGATTTCTGTGAAGACAATGAAGCTCAAGATTAAGGGCCTCTTATTTACACAGGTCCCTCCTGAGGCCTAGGGAGAAGGCCAACAATAAGTTCACATGGTCACCAGTTTTAATAGCATTTCAAAAGTAAGATATTGTCACTACAACTGGTTAAGGCTATTGTCTCTTTCCACTTGGGTTCCCCCTCCTTCACATGCCCTTTTGTTTCAGAGGGCAATGGAGCAGCCATGGGTATTTTCATCTCTAGCTAGGGAGAACTTGAGATGAAGATACATTTAGTTTGAGTGTAGTAAGATATATCTTTGTGGTTTGCATTCACTTCGGTACACAGTTAAGTAGGTTTAGCTGTCCTGGGGTAAAAATGTCTTCCAGGAATATTTCTTTCCTTGACTGGCTGGCTCACCCATCTTCAACTGTGTCATGAAGATACAAGACCAGCAGCTGTGTGAACTACCAGTGTCATATAGTGCCTGGCATCTGATGCTTATGACTAGTGTAGAGAAGCAAGGTGTGAAATGTTTAGAGCCAGAAGTTGGTCTATGGAAAATTCTTCCAAATCTTAGAGCTCACATATAAAAGAAACATGTAGAGGCTTGCACGAATTTGACAACAATCCTAAAAATTTATTGATATTACTCATCACAACTGGTGTAGCTAAAAAAACTTTTCTAACCTACCAAAATAAAAAAACAAATTCTGATGATAAAGACAAGACTGAATTATCTCTTTATTTTTGCTTTAGAAAATAATACTACAAAATGATTGTTAAATAAGAGTTGATTCAAAAAATGTAGGAAATAAAAATAATAAAGAGATTAGACAATTAATAAAATTATGTTATTTTTCTGACTTTTGTGATGTCTGGATTATTGTTAGCTTTTTAAAATCTATACTTTATTATGTTTTTCTATTCAAAATAAAATTACTTTTGCACCTAACTTTGTAATTACTTTTATATTAGTTGTCTTAAAGAGAGCCTCTCAAATTGTATAAATGTTGGGTCTCATAAAACTTGAATTCATCCCTGTTCATGAGGCCTGCGTTAGCTATTTTCAAAGTGCTGTTAGGCAAAGATGGTTAGATTTGTTTTATACAGTACCAGAAGGCTAGAACTTTAATGATGGGAGTTACAGAAGGACAGATTTCAGGTCACTTTAAAAATATATTTTTAAATTCAGAGGCTTCCGAAGACGCAGAGGGAAGCTATAAGGAGCAATGAGTTCTGTGAACAGTGGAGCTACTTAAGTAGAGGCTGCACAGTCATTACCCATGGCCATTGTCTCCCAGGCTCAAGCTTGGAAGACTGGGTGTTAATGAGTTTTCAGAGATATCACGCTGCAGAGTCTCTGCTTCTACCTGTCTGTCGTACTCTCATGCTCCTCCTTCTGTCTCCAACTTTGTTCTCACAGTAGAATCTTGGGGAGGGGGGCTGAGAGAGATGGGAATAATGAGAGCAGAAAACACGAAACAACAATCTTTTTATGAAGAGGAACTGAGGGCTCAGAAGTGAGATTAATAGCATGGCATGTTCAGCAGTTGAGAGGGAATCCACAGCAGACAGCTTCCAGAAACACCTCTACAAGCTTCTCAAAGACCTAATCACATCCTGAGGGAAAGGCTCAGCGATTCACTAAACGGTGGAGGCAGTTGCTTTGACATTAGCCTTTTCAAAGTGTCACTTCCACACCATGAGCCCAACATGCCACCCAGAAAATGTAACTGAACATCAGTTTTGCTTTTCCTCTTGCTTAACTGTTTTAAATGTCCTTGAACTGCATTTCTCCACCAGGCTTAATTTTATGGATTGTGGATTACATTTACTGCTCAGCACTTCTTGCTCAACCCTGGGCAATCCCAGACCTACTGAGTTGTTAACTCACATGGTCAGCATTAATGTCTGAGACTAGTTATAGCAAATGACTGTAGCATAGCGCGAATAACACCTGGCCTTACAGCATCCCAATGAAATCAGCACTTTGGTTCTTCTTTTGCACCCAGCAAAAACCCAGGAGGAATGTGAGAGTAATGACTTGGGTTAATTGTGCTTGTCTTCCGAAGAGTTCAAATTTCTATCCCAGTCTTACTACCTCCCTTATCTTGGAAAATTGTATTTGAAAGCCGTAGAATGGATAGTTTCCCCATCTTACGGGCATGTTGTAGAATTCCATAGAAAGATTGTAACTTCTTCAAAATCACACAAAAAGTCATTATGTTATCCTGCTTCTTCTTTTGTCTTGTTATGTTTTCTTTCACTAGCCCAAGTCACTTGGCTATAATAATTCCAAGAAGTGGCTGTAGAAAATACAAATGGTTTTTGAACCATAAGAATCATAAAGCTGAAAAGGACCCTAAGAGATATTTATTGTTTGCACCTTTATGTTTCGAACATCTTCTCAGATAAAGTTGACTACGACTTGCTACATGTATGACCATCTTGAAGCCACCTTATCTAGTGATGGAAATGAAAAACCCACTCATGTCAGATGAATGAATCCAAGAAAGTAGAGTACGGTGAGTATAGCTAGTCTCTGAAGCTCACTAAAATCATTACTAAAATATTCCCAGTTCGGTGTTAATAACTTTACCAACTTTTCTGTTTTTTTTATTATTATTTTTTCAGCCCCATTTGGTATAGATTGTTGTACTGTGGAAGTCTGTCACGTGCTAGGATGCTCAGGTTAAGAATGTCAGCAATTGTATTTAGGAGGAGGGCTAGCTGCAGCTGCTGAGGGTGGGAAGAAAATTCTGAATGTCCTCTCTTGATTCACTCAACCATCCCTCCCATTGCTCCCGTGAAGGGGAGGTTGACAAATTCCTGATATCAAAACCAGCTGTCAGAACAACATAGGGTAATAGCTGTCCTTGTCAAATGTACCAATTAATTCACCTGACTGTCAATGCTGGGATTATTGATAGACTCCACAATCTGGCTGAGTAATGAAAGTTGAAGGCATTACTAAGTCCATTTCACCTCTGAACAGGTCTTGTAGTAGAACTGGGGCTGTCAGAGCTGGACAATATCAATAAACTTTTACCAAAATTGAAGCTTGATTTTTAAAAGTATGTGTGTAGGCAAGGGGTGGGAGTATCTCCAACCAAGTGTCAGTTACTATGAGACCAGTTCCCAAGAATATTACCAGAAAATGCTCAGAGGAAAGCACGGCAGATAAATAAACATTCTACTTGTTTATTCTGAAGTTTGTTTGCAAGCAGAAAAGAATCAACACCTCATTATTTGAGGATACTAGTTAAGATTGCAGTAACCTGGAACTTCCTGTACTACTTACTCAGCTAAACATGGAAAACAGAAGTTTAGATTATCAGGAGGCTAGCCAAATGATTTGGTAGGAAATATTCCTTATTCCTACATCAGGTTAATCCAGAGCCTATCATGAATGAGTACTCACGGCTAAAGATCTTTATTAACATATGCTGATATAATGTAAAATATTGTGAATTCCAGGATAAGGGTCACAATTAGATAGTACCAACAGGGAGGACCAGGGCAGTTAAAACCCTGATTGATTCTCCAGGAAAACAAAGGGTCATTTCTAAGGAAGTCAGCTAAGACAAGAAGGAGCAAGTAGGTACAATAGTATAGATGGATAAGATGTCAAATATAAGGATCATAAGATCAATATCTATGAACACGGTTGAACTCTGGTCTCTGCATTCTAACTTTGTTGCTTGTTTCTTCTACTAATTTATACTATTTGCCGAGCATGGACCATCATCAGCCCAAAGGTAATAGTAATAAAAAATACAATTTATTGAGCACTTGCTACATTCAAGCACTTTGCTTAAATTCTATATACATTATCTCATTTAATCATAACAACCTTATGAGGCAGCTATGAGAGCATAAACATTTTTAATGTTCATAGACTTCTAGCCCAACAAAGAGACATCTGTAATAGCCACCTAATCTTTCCTTGTATTCCTCCCTTTCAAAGGAGAAGGATTCTTTCTTGCTGGGAGAGAGGCCAAACATTGAGATAATTAATAAGATGCTGATAGAAGAGAGGGGTAAAGAGTGGAAGAATGACATGGAGATGGTGGTGGAGGATGGGTTTAGTTTTTCATAGTATTTGAAGGGAGAGTCTTTGGAGCAGCTGCAGGGAGTAAATTAAGTGGATGGGAAAGTGCAAAGGTTGATTTAATATTGCTGTAAACCAAGTATTAAATCCTCTATAAAGTCTGCAGGATTCCAGAAAAAATGAGGATATCTTTTCAACAACTTTTGGGCTGTTGAAATCAGTGCTTATGATATGTGACATTACTCTAAAGCAAAGCTACATGATCTCTGAGTTCATTAGGATTAGGTATAAATATTATCTGTTTAAAGACAATGATATCCAAACCCAGAGAAATTATATAATTCACCTAAAGCTTTCAGTACATCTGTGTAACTATGATTTAGCAATAGGGACAAAACTACCCATTTTTACATTCCTACCCATGCCATTCTGGAACAATCTCATATTCCAGGATGTTCTTTGGTCAATTATACAAATTTCCTTCAGAATCCCAACTCAGAATTGAACTGCTTTTCTCTCAGTAATAATACTTTCAAACATTGAATGCTCACTATGTGACAAGCTGTGCCAAACCCTTGACTTGCATTTTCTCACTTAATCTTCACATAATGCCCAGGTAGGTATGATTATCTCCAATACACAGAAGAGAAAGCTGAGGCCAGAGGAGATGAAGTAACTTCCCCAATGTTGCACAGCTAGCACAGAGCCGAGTCAGAGCTTAAACCCAGCTCTGTTTAGCTTCAAGCCTCTGCCTCCCTTTTATCTTTAGGTTCAGTTTCTTTTGCTCCAGGCAAATGCAAATTGTTGGGAGGAAAACATCTTGAATTTTGTTCATAAACACTGTAAGCATTCTTCTCACCTCTGCCTGTTTTTTTTTTTTCCAGTTGTTTGGGTTGTCTGTTGGTCTAAAATTGGCACACCATTTGAATAACCTGTGTACTCAGAGGAGAGAAGCATAGAGCAAAAGAGAGAGCAGTGAATGCCAGGCAGGCTGGGGCACAGGGGTCCAGCGCTTGGATTAGCTTCCTCCCAGCCGCCTGATTGATAAGCTGGGATTTGTCTAGGCAGGCAGTCTTCAATTTGGATTTGTCAGGATCAGGAAGATTTGTTTTCTTCTGTAGTAATGTGAGGCTCAGGGTGAGTTCAGTGTAAGATTTATTCACCTTGACTATGATCTTTAAAATCATGACCATGTTTCTCAAGTCATCCACCTAAGAAAACACAAGCATAGATTTTTGTAGCTTTTTCCAAGGGAAATAGCTTCTCATGAAAAGAAAACTTCCTTTTTTCTTTTTATACTTCACCTTGAGAGAAGTTATTTATTTATTTAAATTCATTAATTTTTTTCAGATACGAGGTCTTATTCTGTCACCAAGGCTGGAGTGCAGTGGCACAATAATAACTCACGATAACCCTGAACTCTCATTCTCAAGCGATACTCTTGCCTAAGCCTCCCAAGTAGCTTGGACTAAAGGCACGTACCGCCACTCCTGGCTATCACTTTTTTTTTTTTTTTTTTTTTTTTTGTAGAGAGGAACTCTCACTATGTTGCCCAGGCTGGTCTTGAACTCCTGGCCTCAAGCAATCCTCCTGCCTCAACCTCCCAAAGCACTGGGATTACAGGCATGAGCCACTGTGCCTGGCCTGAATTATTTAATAATAATAGTTTTTAAAAGATACAAAGGAAGGAAGAAAAAAGGGCGATCCTGTCCTGATTTTTGTCCCAAGGATCATGACTATGATATTTCCCAATTAGATTTAGCTTCATGTATGAATGAAAAATAGATGTTTGGTATCCAATAAAGTCATCTCTCTCTTCTTCCCCAATACCTCAATTCAGGAGGCTTTCATTTCATTTCATTTTATTTTTACTTTGGCCAACTGAAGCTGTCATGTTCGGGGGCTAAATGTGTTGTCCTGCGTGGGCATCACATCCATCAATTAACGTTTCTGCCTTCTGTGCTAAAGGAATTATCTCCAAGTTCATCTTGATGAATTTTTCTCTCTACCTCATTACCCAAGCTGGATACAGCAGACTTTTCATGTTTAATGGCTGCCATCTTACACACGTTCTGATTCTTTTGAACACACACGTGCCTATTTATGGAGGCCCATGAACATTCCATTGACTACTTTTTTGCATTAGAAACACTTAGATTACAATAGCAATACAAGTCCCTTATAAAATAAAATAAAACATTATATGTATTTTTTTAAGCGAGAGCCCTTGAAGAGATGTTCAATACATAATCAAGAGTGAAGTCATACTATATATATGTATACTATACTACATACTCCTGCAATTTGATTTTTTCACTTACTTTATTTTTCAAATCGGTGTAATGGCAAAAACCGCAATTACTTTTGCACAAATGATACATAGTAAATCAGAAGAACATGAGTAACTGACAGTTTTCTTTATAAATTTTATTACTTAATAAACCTTTACATCTTTAGAGTGCATTTAACTTTGAAACACATTTACATTTAATTTTCTAATTATTCCTTAGATGGACTTATGAGGTTTTATTAAATGACACCCTCAGTCACCAAGATTCTGAGGTAAATTTCTTATGCATTTCCATGTTTACTTGCTTAGTTTCTAACTATACCAATTGAATGTGGATTTTATGAGGGCAAGGGATTTTGTCTGTTTATGCCATGTCTGTTTTTCCCAGTGTAGAGTATGTGATCAATAAATATTTCTGTATAAATAAACAATACTTTATTCTAGATAGCTCTATTTTCTGGATAATTGACAGTTCACGTTTTAAAAATCTAAATGAGTTTATTGCTGAGACATGTAAAAGGCTTCCTTGCCTTTTAAAATAGAGCATATTGTCCATAATCTATTTATTTGGGGTACAAGATTAATACTTGGTTGTGTATTTTACTACCATGATTTTAGGAAACAAGCCATTTCAGTTTCTTTGCCCTTGCCCTAACTGACCTAGACATTCATTTAATTCTATTTGAATCCTTGAGTTTTCTGCCTTAAAAAAAAAGTGACAATTGATAGCATCAATTTTATTTCAGCAAACATCTACATTGAGTGCCTATTACATGCTAGATATCATGCTGATTACAAAAAACAAAGACACTCCCAATACACAGAGACATGTAATCTTATTTCCTTGATGTTAGTGCACAAGAATCTTTCTCACTTTGAATCTGCTTCTACTCTGTAATGTTATGTATTGAGTTCAGGAATCAATAACCAAGTTTGTTAGCAACATGTATAAAGTATGACAAAGCAGGTATGGAGAGAGGACCATTCCTATTAGTACTGTTAGGAAATTTTAAAATGTGGATTGAATAATACCTAGTTTGGTCTTTGAGGAGGATTTTTTTTAATTGCATTTGATTCTCAACCATGTTTAGGATACCCAAGTTCTTTTTTCTTTTTTCTTTTTTTTTTTTTTTTTTAGACAGAGTCTCGCTCTGTTGCCAGGCTGGAGTTCAGTGGCACGACCTCGGGGCTCACTGCTACCTCCGCCTCCAGGGTTCAAGAAATTCTCCTGCCTCAGTCTCCCGAGTAGCTGGGACTACCACGCCCAACTAATTTTTGTATTTTTAGTAGAGACGGGGTTTCACCATGTTGGCCAGGATGGTCTCGATCTCCTGACCTTGTGATCCACCCGCCTCGGCCTCCCAAAGTGCTGGGAGGCATGAGCCACCGCGCCTGGCCAGGATACCCAGGTTCTTTTAAAAGGAAGTATCACTCTATGTCCATATGACAAGATGAAACTGAGACTTGAAAGAATAAATCTCTTGTCCAAGATTGCATTGCTAGTTAGAAGCAGAGCCAGAACTAAATCTCACCTTTCTTGATTGCTAATTCCATATGCTTTCCACCAGACCACAAACTGACAAGAATTTGTCACAAAATGACAAGCCATACCAGTGTGCCCTGTATGTGCCTGTGTGTAATACTCCTAAAAGTTTTATAACATAGGGGGTGAGAGTCATTATTTCCTTTCCTACTAAGCAAGTACCCAATGTGAATTTGTTAAAGTCAAATCCTTTAAAAGCAAAGAATTGAGACAAAGTTTTGTAACGTGTGTGTAAGGGACAGGAACTTAGGGAAAACAGCCACAGACATGGAAGCCAATTCAAAGGATAATCAGGTGTCATCTCTTGCTTTTCTCAAATTGTAAGCTTTTACAGATTCTCAAGGTACTAGTTTAGGTGAAGCAAAACCCCTAAGCAGGTAGGGAATGCAATCAATGTCAATATGGTTTTACTTCAATGTGAACTTGTCCTGAACACATGCTTTTTCTGGTCTTGTTTATATTGCTTTCTAGGGGCTGGGTCTTTGTAGCTTCAGTTTCCTATTGGCTTGGCTTTCCAAATTTTCATGATGGGTGGGAGGGGGCATTTGTGTTGTCTGCTGCTGTGAGGGATCTTCATGCAAGCACACTGTTACTGAACACAGTCGCCAGATGGGCTTTTCCAACATATCAATCCAATCATGTCATTGACCACCCCCACCCCCGCCAAAAAACCTTCCACTGTCTTCTTATTGCAATTATAATGAAATCTTAACTCTCATCAAGGCCTGCAAGGATGTTGATGAGTTAGCACCTGCCTCATCCCCTATCTTTCTCCTTACCTCCTCTGTTCTCTGGCTATACTGGCCTTTTTGCTACCTTCTTATACAAAAAGCTCTGTACCTGCTATATTCTCTGCCTGAACACTTTTGTCCCAGGTCTTCAAGTGGCTGCCTCATCCACATCACTTAGACCTTTACTTACTGGGTTTTTTATCAGAAAGTTTCTCTGTTGTCACCCTCCTTAATGTCACTCACCCACTCCACCCTGCCATGCCAGCTAACTTCTATCCCATTTCTTATTTTCTTCATAGGGTTTATCAAAATTTGAGTTTTTTTAACTTATTTTCATTTTTTCTTCTTTCTTTCTCAATAGAAGATGAGTTGTAGAGGGGCCAGGACCCCTTCTTATTCATTGCTTCTGTTAGTCCATTTGCATTACTATAAAGGAATATCTGAGGCTGGGAAATTGATAATTAAAAGGGAAGCAGAGCATAAAAGTTTGGAAAATTCACAAACTGGTTGTGTGGTGGAGAAGGAAAGAACATTTTCAGGAGTGAAATATGAGCAGGCTGTGGAGCAACCACTTGCTAGACAGATTAGCATGGCTAAAGGGGAGCCAAGTGCTAATAACCAAGACAATGGGAAAAAGGCCTTGAAGGCATTTCAGAGATTTTCAAGGCCACCCCCCCATCACAGGCCTAGAGGCCTAGGAGAAAAGAATGGTTTGGGGGGCCACATTCAGGACCCCACTGCTCTGCACATCCTTGGGACACTGCTTCCTGCATCATGGCAGCTCCAATTCCAGTCTTGGCTCAAGGTATAGATTAGGGTGCTGCTTGAGAGGGTATAAGCTGTAAGCCTTGGCAGCTTCCACCAGGTGTTAGGCTTGCAGAACTGTGATTTAAATAAACCTCTTTTCTTTATAAAATACCCAGTCTCAGGGATTCCTTTATGGCAGCAAAAACAGACTAACACATGACTGTTTTCCCAGCACCTAGAACAGTGTCTAGCACAGAGCTGGGGTTCAGAATTTGGATCCCAAATAAATGAATGAACAGAACTCAAATCAGATGAACTTCAGTAACTCTTGTCGCTGCTTGTCCTGCCCTTGAATTCATTCACAACAGTCAAACCCTCCTGATTATGCTGGGTGCATAGTCCATGATTCTTGCCTTCACTCATATTAGTAGGATTATTATACAGGTCACACATAATAGCAATAGCAAAAGCAATAGTAGTAGTAGTAGTAATAATAATAGCCAACACTTATTAAGCATCTGCCAAATGTTGGGCATTGCACTTGCCTCATATATGCCTAACGTTTACCACAGTCCCGCAAAGTAAGCAATACAATCCATGGCTTGCAGATCAGAAAACAAGGCCACATAGTTAGTAGTGATGGAAGCAGATCTGAACCTGGGAGCATCTAACTGCACAGCGTGCACGCATATAAGCACAGCTGGATTTCAAAGCCACTATTATCTCAATACTACAATTAATTACTCTGAGCATCTAAGCCACTCTCTCATTAGTGAATCACACATAGACACAGTAAAAAACAAACGTCTACAGGGACCTCTGCTGTCAACAGGCACACAACATCCCCATGGCTGAAATGTGAACTCTGAATAATTCTATGACTAAGTTTTCCTAAAATCTGCAAGCAGATGCTGTGTGCTTGTCAGAATCTTTGAAAATTCCATTTTCAGAACGTTTCATTTCTTTGAAACATTCATTATGTTTCAGGCATATTCCCAGTCCCCCATATTCCTTTCAGCATGCTTATCAGTACTTATTGATAAATTCCTACTCTGAACAGATAGTCTGTCAGGGGCTGAGGATAAAGGAGACTGTCAGGGAGGGATAGGAAACGAGAGTAGCCTCAGTGCTGCTGACCACACGGGGTTGGAGAGACACCATCCCATGCTCTGCTCCCATCAGAAAAGGAACGGAGCAATGGGATCAGGGAGCATGTGGAGGTGGTCCCTAGAACACTCAACGTTAATGAATTTCATTTTGGGAGAAATATGTGGGAGCTTGGTAAGCATGCCAGCTTCTTTGAGGTTCTGTGGTGCATGATTCCATCTTCTTTTTTTGTTTATAGTGAACAGTCCCAGCAAAGCCCCATTTGCAACAGAAATTTCCATGGTCCCCCCCTCTCTCCAGGCCTCCACTCCACTGCATTCCACACTGTGACAGTGACAGCCCTAATAGCAAGTAAATACCCAGACCTGGCCCTTTTAGAGTTCAACAGTAGGGATCAGCAGGGGAGAGGCAGCCACATCGTGTCCTTGGCAGATGCCTGACGATGATGCTGGCTTTGTAGGAGGAAGGTGGGAGCTGGGGTGTGCCCAGCTGGAAGCCGCCCGTAATTTAATAATCGCAGATGGAGACTGAGGGTGATATGATACCCCCAGCTGTCTACCACTGCCGCCTTCAAGGCCCCCGTCGGCTGCCTGGGACTTGGGATGCTTTGGGAAGGGCCTGGTGCGGGTGGGGGCGGCCTAATAAAGCAGCTGGTCTATTAGAAGATAAGCTTTGTGGAGAATCACACAATCATCCTGAATCCCCCTAATCCTAAACTTTATTGCCCTAGATAATAAGCTTTGGTGGCGACGCTCCATTGAAATATGGAATTGTCTTCAGGCTGGAGGCACCTGCTGTGTCACTCAGCTCCAGGCCGGCAACTGCCGCACACAATTCAGGGGCAGGTGCACAGTGCCTGCCTTGGCTCCCGGAGGGAAGGGGGACAGTTAAGGGGGCCAGCCGCTCTCCCACAGAGGGCTCCAAACATTCTGTGCTGGGAAGGCCTGCCTTAGGCCTGAGAATGTTCTCTTTGTGGTTTGGGCATGAAGCTGTTTAGAGGACTTGGGAGAGAAGGAGCAGGAGGGACTGTTGGTAGGGGATGCCGAGGCTTAGAGAAGGAATCAGCTCTGTCTGCAGACCTGGGGTGGAGGGGGTCATCAGTGACTGATCTGTCTTTCCTTTTCTCCTACAACCCCTTCCTGCAGTGGCCCTTTATGCACTGGCCCCACCTCCCCAGTCTGTTTCCTCTTCCAGCAGAGCCCTCCTCCGCAGTCTTTCCTGTTGTCCACCAGGTGAGCTTCCCTGTCGCCTCCTCCTCATGCCTTCTTTGTCTTCACCAAGGAGAGGCATCTTCCTTCCTTCCTGTGTGCCTCTCTAGTTCTTGATTCATGCCAGGATTGTAGCTCACACAATGCTAATTCATCAGATCATCAATTAATTGTGTCTATGCCAGTTTCCTCTAGACTAGGAAGTTTTTGAAGGCAGAGAACATATTTTTGTCCTCAGTGCCTTGGAGATGCTCACAGGGTTTACTAAAGGGGAGAGAGAGAAAGAGAGAGGGAGAGAGAGAGAGAGATGAACATGACCTAAATTATTCAGTTTTCTCTCTGATGGTGTCTTGATTACCTTCCCATTCTCATAAACAACCCCTCAGCACCTCTCTAGAGGACCAACTGTGTTAGATTAAGTTCAGAGCAATCTTGGCTTTTAACAAGGCCCCTCCACCAAGCAGTTGCCTTGCAAAAGTGATTAATGAGTTTAGTGGCCTCTAGCGATGAAGCTGACCTCTTCCTCCAGCAGAGCCTTTTGACAGCTTAGACTGAATTCGGGAGCCTTGACTGAGGTTGGGTACATTCCCAACTACAAGAGATAGGATATGAGGTGGAACATAGTGTGTGTGGTCACCCGCAGAACCAAACTAAGAACTCCACTCAGGCAAAAGTGGCCAACCCTTATATTTGAAAATGATGCCCTGGGGATTGTCTATTCACTGAGGGTTAATATGAAATAGGAATTCTTTGTGGTCCTCCTGCTAAGCTGCTATGCCAGCTTTTGCTTCTATGTATTCATAAAATGTATGCTGGTGGTTATGATTCTGAAGGGCAGAAATTCAGGGACTCCCTGCTTCCTTTCCTCAGGTAGGATTTAGGTTTAAAATAATTCTCAGTTAACCAATGACAAATTTAATAATCCTGAATGGCTTCATTTACATATCCTATCATACACTGTGCCACCACAATCTTCTGCTTCTCTAGAAAATATGTTGTTACTTTTCTATTGTCACTCTGCCCAATTTGGTTGCCTTGACTCTGGATCAAGGAGTCTCTGAGAGGCTGAGGCAGGTGTTAGCCTTTTCAGAAACTGACTCAGGTAGATAGGGAGCCCTTAGTTTTTGGAACCTCACAGCTAATGTTCTCCCTAAAGACCAGATAACATAACACAGCAATAATTTGGGGCATCAGAGTACAAGTTAATGGTCAAATACACAGAGTTCCCAAGTCCATCAACACACAAAATACCCACAGCTACTCAATATCTTCATGGGCCCCAGATCACCTGCCTTTTAGGAAAAAAGCCTCTTATATCATCTATTCAAGAATAACAGTCCACATTAAATATATTTAGTATGTAAGTGTCGAAATGCAGGCATCTAACTAGCATTTCTTACATTTCACAGATATTCAACTAGATATTTACTAATTTTGATTCTCAGCTTCTTTTAAAATATGCCAGAAATATGAACTTCTAACTTCCCACTTGAGTTCAAATAACAAATTCAACAACACTTTTTGAGCACTGGCATGTAGAAGATAGTGATTGACTCCCCTCTAACAGTTTCTTTGTCTGATTTTGGGGTCTTTGCCAGAAGCCACAAAAATAGTAAGCCTCCACTCTCTTGAAATGTCAAATGTGTTTTTGTCCTTATTGACTGTTCTCACTGGTCTGTCTCTTTAAGGAAAAGTTACAGTACTTTTTCTAGGCCTCAAATGTTGACAGCCTAATAGTCTGGGTATCCACTTATGTTGGCCAAAGTATAAAAAAGCCCTGAAACCATCCTTTGGTCCCTGGAGGAGTTTATGGTAATGGAGGCCGGAGTCTGGAGAATATATCACTGCCATTGATTGCCCTGTGGCAGGCGCTGAAATATGTCAACCAAGAGTGCACCCTTATGCTGCTCTGAACTTCAAAGAAAGACTGTTTCGGTTAGCCTTTGCTGTGTAACAAAGTACCCCAAAACCTAGTGGCTTAAAACAACAACTTATTGTTATATCTTTTAGGATCCTTTGGTTTGGCTCCAAGGTTGCTGTGCCAGTTTTGCCTGGCAGCTGCATTCAGCTATAAGGTTAGCTGGGCCCAAAGGTTGAGATGGCTGCCCCTCTCACATGTTTGGCAGTGGTGCTACCTGTTGGCTAAGGCACCTCCCTTCCTTCCATGGGGCCTCTTATCTTCTAGTCAATGAGACCAGTTTCTTTGTATGGTGGTCTCAGGGCAGCATTCAAAGACGATGGAAGTGAACTGATCAAAGCAAGTCACACCACCAGCCCAGATTCAAAGGTGTGGAGAAATAGACTCTAGTCCCTGACAGGAGAGTGGCAAAATTATAGTGCACAGGGGCCTGGATCCTGGAATGGAAAAAATTTGCAGCCATTAAACAACGTACCACAACCAGGCCACAGATAGATTGCAGATCCCAGAAGTGAAGAGATGGAACTGTCTAGGGGCTTCAAAGAAGCTAGGGAATTGATTCTGAACTGCAGGCCCAGTGGCTTTGGGCCCCAACTCCCTTTATAAAGTGGCTTCCCTCTGGAGGGAAGCTCAGCAGCTTTTTTGCTGAATGGCCTAAAAGACAAAGGCTAATTGCTCTTTGGTGTGGTCATTTCAGTCTTTGTCTTGCACTGCTCATACACTCTGTACTTTGGACGTGATTGTAGACCAGCCCTCAGGTTCCTCATTGAGGAAATCTGGGCCAGGTACCTAACGTTATCAGTTGGTGGGGCAGGCAGTAGAAGCCATGGTCTCTGAATGAAACAGTTGGTGGGATAGTGGGCTCTCACATAAAATTGCTTGGGTTCGCATCCTGGCTCTACCACATATTGCCTGTGATATATGAACAAGAATTCTCTAAGCCTCAATTTCCTTCTCTGTAAAATGGAATGATTGTGTATGTTTCTAAATGTTTAATCATATGTGTACATGTGTGGATTCAATAAGATCATGTCATTTTGCTTCAATGTCTGGCATTTATTAAGTCTTAACTATTAGTTCTCATTATTTTCCAATCAACATAGAAGCCAAACTGAAAAGTGTTGTTTGAAATGAATTTCATAATATATATTTATAGAATCAAATATCAATTTAAAAATGGAAAAATTCAACCTCCCCAGTTACCTTCACATCTAAAGCCCCAACATTAGGCTTTAAATTAATGTGATTCAGGAAGTCACATGAAAAGGGTCTGCATTTTCTAGTCACACCAACCTGGATGCTAATCCTGGCTCTGCCAGTTACTAAGTGTGTAATCCAGAGCAAATTACCTCTCTAAGCCTCAGTTTCCTCATCTGCAATGGTACATATAATAGTAGTACATATAACTACTTCAAAGAAGTAGTTGTGAGAATTAAGGTAATTATGTAAAGCACCTGGTGTATGGTAGGTGTTCAAACTATACTATTTCTCTTCCTTCCACTTTGAATTTCTAACTTCCCACTTGAGTTCAAATAACAAATTCAACAACATTTTTGAACACTGGCATGTAGAAGATAGCGATTGACTCCCCTCTAATGGTTTCTTTGTTTGATTTTGGGGTCTTTGCCAGAAGCCACAAAAAGAATAAGCCTTCTCTCTCTTGAAATGTCAAATGCTTTTTTGTCCTTATTGACTGTTCTCACCGGTCTGTCTCTTTAAGGAAAAGGCCCTGAACAGGCTGCTTACCCCATTAATACTAAAGGCTGTGAGTTTTTCAGTTCCACTGAACTCTGTGTGACCTTCGCAGACAATAATTACTTTAACATAGGGTTAGGCAACAGCAACAAACTTGTCTGAAAATAAGCCAGGGCTTAAAATACAACTTAACCTGGGAGATTTAAGCAGGTAAAGAAGATGGCTTCTCTCCGGAATTGCTTCTTGATTAATCACCCCATCTGAGGTCGTTGGAAAAATGACAGTTTTCAAACAGGGCTTTAAATGTCTCCTGCTCTACTTTTCTACCCTGGCAGAAAGCCAGTCCCTGCAAGCCACTGGTTCTTAAAGGGGACGGGTTCCCTTGGATTTCCCTGAGCTGGAGCTCAGGAGCATGAGATAGTAATGGATAGACAGATGGGAGAGAGTGTTCATGCTCCCCACTTAAGGTTTGCTCACCTCCAAGATAGACTCAAGGAGCAGTCACTGAACCAGGAGGAAGGAAGCAGCAATATCTGAGGAAGAAGTGCCTATTTTAAAATGTGCTCAGGGTTTAAGGCAAAGTGTGTCCACTAGCTTCTTTCCAAACACTTTATCCGGTATCTTGCCTTCTATGCTTGGGTCCTGGCATTTTGTCAGCTTGGTTCAAGTCTTCCCTCTGTTCCTCTTGCTGGCCTCTTTCCATCCTAGGGTTCTTCCCAGCCACTACTTCCCTGAACATTCACTCCTTGTATTTGGGAACCTTCAATTTGTGCCCAATCTGGAGATCACCTCTCATCGACAGTTGTTTCTCTTTCTCAAATTAACTATGAGTCATGTGGGTCAGAGTCTTGCCTCTCCACCACACCTGCTGGGTACTCAGGACATCACTGGAAGCCCACAGCCAGTGTCCCACCCTCTGTGTCCTTCCTAATAGACAACCCTATCTCTGCTCTCACTACATCCTGGATACAGTCTCTAATAGACAACCCTATCTCTGCTCTCACTACATCCTGGACAGTCTCTGTGGTCTTTAGATGACTTTGGCTTTATCATCCAGGCCTAAAGCATGCCTCCAACTCAAAGGATTTTCAGACCAGAGTTCCATCTTGGCCTTGGGTAAGAGATTTTCCATAGAAAATTCCCTTCCCTTTATCTCAAACCAAATCAGCTCTGTCCAGGGATGGTTTGGCACAACCTCCTGCAATTTCCTATCCTGCTTACCTGAGTATGTATACCATCTGACATAGTATATAGTTACTATTTATTATAATATAACCTCCCAGGAGTTTTTGTTATGTTTAGAACTTCATCCTCTGTGCCTAAAACAATGTGAACACATAGGTAGTGCTCAATAAACATTTGCCCAATAAATAATAAACAAATTATATTTAAGGACTCCCAGAGTTCTGGGGTGTTATGCCTTGTTTATCATAAGTTAGAATGGCTTCTTGCTGGGATCATTTTTCAAAATATGTTTAATTTTATCCTGTTTTTAAAGTTAATGTACAGTTAATCTGACTTGTTTTTGGTGTGCAGTTCTGAGTTTTAACACAGTATAGATTTGTGTAGCCACTACCACAATCGGGATACAAAACAATTTTGTCAGCCCCAAAAACTCCCCTGTGCTGCTCTTTTGTAGTCATGCTTTGCCCCCATCCTAACCCCTGGCAACCACTGATCAGTATAGTTTTGTTTTCTTCAGAATATCATACAAGTGGAATATATCTTTTGAGACTGTCTTCTTTCACTCAGCATAATGTCTTTGCGATTCATCCAGGCTGTTGTGTGTACCAATAGTTTGTTCCTTTTTATTACCAAGTAGTATTCCACTTTATGGATGTGCAACTGTTTGTTTATCCCTTTACCTGCTGAAGGATATTTGGATTGTTTCAGTTTTTGGTGATTATAAGTAGAGATACTATAAGCATTTGTATGCAGGTTTTTGAGTGAACATGAGTCATCATCTCTCTAGGGTAAATATTCAGAAGTGAGATTGCTAGATCATCTGTAAATGTATCTTTAAATTCATGAGAAACTGCTAAGCTGTGTTCCAGGAGGCTCTACCATTTTTCATTTCTATAAGTAATGCATGGGGATTCCAGTTGCTCTGCATCCTTGTCAGCACTTGATATTATCAGGCTTTTTTTTAAATGGCCATTTTAATAGGGATGTAATGTTATCTCATTGTGGTTTTAATTTGCATTTTCTTAGTAGCTAATAAGGTCGGAAATCTTTTCTTATGCTTATTTGCCATCCACAGATCCTCTTTGGTTATGTGTTTATTCAACTTTTTACCCATTTTTAATTTGGTTGAATTTTAAGACTTCTTTATATATTCTAGCTACAAGATCTTTGTTTGATATGTGATGTGAAAATATTTTCTCCCACTCTGTAATTTGTATTTTTATTTTTTAAATAGCATACTTCACAGAGCAAGTTTTAAATTTCAATGAAGTTCAACTTACAAATTTTTTTCTATCAGGTATTGTATTATTGGTGTCATATGTAAGAACTCTACCTCATTCCAAGTTATGAATATTTTCTCCTGTTTTCTAGATTTATGCTTTACATTTAGATAATCCCTTTTGAGACAACTTACTTTTTTCTGCATGTGAAGTTAAATTGTTCAACACCATTTCTTTAAAAGACTGGACTTTCTTCTTTGAATTGTCTTTGCACCTTTTTCAAAAACCAATTCGTCATACTTGTGTGGCTTTATTTCTGGAATTTCTATTCTACTCCACTGCAGTATGTGTTTATCCCTTCACCAGTACCATAGTATCTTGATTAATGTGTATTTATCATAATTGTTCAAGTAGCATGAAGCCTCCAACTTTGTTTCTGAATCATTTTCTAACCACTATCATCCTGTGCTACAAAAGGAGAAGGAGAATGTGAAGAGAAAAATGGGCTTTTATTGAGTACTATGTGATAGCTAATGGACCATGGGGATTTACAGTATCATTTAGTTTTTAAAATAGTATATTCCAGGTCAGTACTATTTTCCCATTTTTGAAGATAAGATAACTGAACCCCAGATAATTTTAATAACATACCCAAGCCTACTTAGTTAATATAAGCCAGAGTTAGGACTCAATCCTAGGTCAGGTCAGGCTGACCCTCAAGTTCATAACCTTCCTACTACACAATGGTTCATGTCAACTCTTCTGGATTCTGGGGATATGGAGTAGACCTAAGAATACCTTGGATGCTCTGCATGGATTCAATTTTTCAAAAATCATTTATATTAGAAAGAAGCCTCTCATGAGTTCCCAAAGGATATTGTTCCCATGGTTGAGATGCAAACATATTCCTATTTATACAGTCTGAACAGACGGCTTAGTTTGGCCTCTTAAAAATACAGTGGTGAGTTAATAATCTAAGAGTAGATTGTCACACTGGCTACAGGAAGATAAATAATCAAGGATTATAAGTCTTTAATTTAATATAACTTATTCTCATTAATTAAATGCCAATTACCTGCTTGTCTTTCCTGGGAACTGGCCTTTGCAATCAATCTTTTCAGAAACGTTGTACACACATGTTCACGGAGGTATTAATATCACTCTCAAGATTTACAGGCACTGGACTCTTTGGCTTAAACCATCCTCAAACACTCTACACTGTAACCGCAGATAATCGTCATAAATTTCCTGATCTTTGACCTAACCGGTTCTTAAATTTCCATTCCCTAACGGGCTTGAGGAGATCGTATTTATCATACTGAGATGCTTGCTTTTAAGGACAACGCATTCCAGCAAGGCTCTGGATTTCAGATCTCTGATCCATCCTCCTACCTTGGGCTTTTGCTATTCACAACAGATGAGAATCCTTGGGGACTAAGAAAGGAACACTGTCCTCTGACTCCCCTGTGCAGGGACATAAAGCAAAATCATTCATTCATGGACAATATAACCTTGCAAAATATCTGGAGCAACTTGACCCCTCAGAAGCCTTTTGAATGCCCCACCTGCACTGATTTAAGCATTCAATGGCAGCAAATATCCACTGCTAAATATATTCCCACTCCAGCCTTTAGCAGCTGCCTGTATATACCTGCAGTTTTTCTTAAATTTCTTACCCTCTAGACTGCTTATTTCTTATGCTTAGACATAACTATACATTTTATGGTTGCTGTACATTTAAGTCTTGAAAGTTGTTGGTAGTTTGTGTTGCAGAACTGGTCTGGAATATGTGCCTTCTAATTCCATATTTCAGCTCAATGAAACAAGGAGAAAGAGAAGGAAACCAAATTTAATTAAGGAAAACCCAGGTTTACTTGCAAGCTCATAGTCACACCTTCCTACATCTGATCAGCTTCCACTCTTTTTTTCCCATAATTTCAATTTAGGTGCCTGAATAGAATTATCTCCATTTGAACCATGAGTTTGAATGCTCTTTTTTCAGTTTATTTTTAAAAATTAAAATAGTAATGCATACACATGCAAACTAGAATTCATAAAGTGTAGAAAAATAGAAAGGGAAAGTAAAATTCTTCCATTTCTTGTCCCAATCCTGGGGCAACTACTTTAGCAGCAATTAAAATTTACATGGTATGTTTATGCCTCAATTTCTGGATATATCAAATTAGGTAGTAACTAGTGATTCCCTGCAAAGAAAGACAAGACCACTAATATGCTCAATCTTCTATCTCTCTTCTTTATTCCTATATGTCACCCCTAATTTTTGTTAGGTATATTGTTATTGTCACATTTTCAAGGCTTATATTCTGTTCTGTAAGTGTAATTCAGTTTTAGTGCTTTGTATGTAAATTGTAACATTAAAAACCAACAATATTGTGGGTTGTGATTCAGAAAATATTATTTACTGTGAAATAAACTAATGTAATTAAGAGAAGTATAGAAGTTAAACCCTTAAAAGAGAAATTTCTAAGTTTCTCAAATGGATCCTCTTCCTTTTCTACCTTCTTTTCCATTTTCTGAGTCATACTTATCAGCCACTATTTCTTGTATGCTAGTTTGTTTTTCACTTTGGATCTTGTTATAAGTTTTCTGGAGCAACTCCTCTAGTAAATTTCATATGGAGTACACAGGTGGTAAGCATACTATAGTTCTTACATATTCAATAATGTATTTATTTTGCTGTTAAATTTGGTTGATATTCGTTGACTTCGTAATCATTAGGACTCAATTATCTAATTTTGGCGATACAAACTATAACATTGACTTAACTGTTTCACTGACTGCTCTAAGTTCATCGGATTGTTCTGAGATTCAAGGAAGATAAGTCATAAAACAACCACTGACATTCATAAAAGGTCTATATAAATGCTTGATAGTAGTAGCTCACATGTGTCAGGTACCATGCTAGGCAATTTACATTTGTTTTCTCACTGACTTCTTTCAACAATCCTGTAAGATCAGTACACTTATCACTCCCATTTTAATGATGAAGAAACAGGCTCCAAGAGATTAAGTAATTTGATCAATAAACACCTCACTAGCTAGTGGGGAGTAGAGTCTTGTCCTGCTGTTTTAACAAATCCCATGTTAAAAATATGATACTAAAAATGAAAGCTGTTTACCACCATTATCATCATCTGAGGTTCATTTTTTCAACCATGTACCCTGTGAACTGACAACCTTGTAATTAAAAATCAGTCTATTATGGGTCTTTAATGTAGACCAAACATCTTGCAAGATCTCTTAGCTTGACCAATTCCTTCCTTGACTTTGACCAATTCATTTCTCCAATTTGTAGGAAACAAAAGAAACTGGGATGGAGATTTGGTATTAAGTCATTATCCTTGCAGATAAACATGGTACTAATGATTCCTATCAGTACCTCAAGGGCTATGAATTATCACAGCTTTTTCTTCTTCCATAGCAGAGTTAAATTTGCCTCAATTCACTCATATTCTTTCAGCCAATCTCCACAGTCATGCTAATGAGTTACTAAGTGATAGGGCTGAAATTGTTTGGGACTGTGGATAAGAATAATGAATAATGAATAATGTTTATGAGATTCACCCTCAAAACTTGTCCTCATTAACACACTACTCTGACCCAAACTCTACCTACCCCACTCATTCCCATAAAGGGGTAGCTTTAGATCTCACCTTACTGGGGTTACCGTTTATTAGATCGGGGTGAACACATGACCTGGGGGTACCATTCATTCACTAGAAGAAAGCTGATCAGATGATTTTTTTACTAAGCTGATCAGATGGTCAGATGATTTTTTACTAAGAATCAGATAGAAGGTCCATGAACAACTACTGAGATTACATGAGGCTACTAAGTTGCCTGAAGATTCTTGGTTCTTTCCCTCTCTGGGCTTCTTGTTTCTTGAAATTTATTATGTCTGTATCCTGTAACAAACCTCTCTTTTATTGATCAAATTGGAGTAAGTTTTAGTTCCTTGCAATCAAACATCACCCAGCCAAGAGAAAGCTTTTAAACTTTCCTTAATATCAGAAAAAAACTCTCTGGAAGTACAAATATGCCAAAGTCCATCCAGTAAGGAGCATGAAATGGTATGTATCAGACTTGAAAGAGTTAACTTGCCAACCAAAAACTGAAAACTTGACTTCCTTCTCTTCAGTTGGGCCCAGGTTAATTTTGGTTGATGATAATGGTTATAAATGTTTTTTTATTTGAGAGGCATGGGACATACGTGATGAATGTGAGGACGATCATACATCTTATAAGGAGCTAATTGTTTGTGAAAGATGCTCCAAAAGTGACACACACAAGTCTGATATACCCTGGCGGCCAGCTCTTCTACAACAATTTCATTAAACCAACCACCATTACATGAAAACATAATGTGACAAAACAGATATTGTCCTCTTTGACCTTGGCAGGATATGGAAACATTAAAAAAAGATCCAATACTTTTTTTTTTAATAAACAACATTGTGAAGACCTAATCACCTTGCATACTAAATTCAAGCACAGGACTTATGAGTCAACCATTTTCTCATTAACACTGTTGTTAATTTTTCATGCTGCATCCAATTTTCTCCATGTCTCAGACAAACCACTTACTCTAATTTATTAGCCTAAGAATTGCCAAATTACAAAGGTAAGAAAAAAATATATGTTTCTCCTTTCCTCTAGAATTAAGACTTCCATCACAGAGAAATGGAATTCTTGATTCGAGAAATCATTTCTTCTAATCCTTTAAATTGGTATTTTATCAATACTCTGTCCTCTGGAATGTTGGCAGGCATCACACAGAGTAGAACGTAATGTACTGTTTTGTGTCTTTGTAAAAGTCATTTTGCATTTATCTTCAGAATTATTTTATCCTTTTATGAACAGATTAACATATTTACTCATGTGTAAATGGACAATGGGTGAAGATTAGAAAGGTTTCCTTTGTAGCAAAGACCTCATTCATGTAGAGTCTCAGTAAATAAATTCATAGAAATAGGTTGAATTACCAGCTAAAGTTTATAAACTGCAGATACCAAATTAAGGTCATAAACTCTAACCTTTAAGATTTTGTTTAAACAGAATAGATAAAACATATTGGGAGAAAATATATATATTACAAGGATATGTACATATTTAAACTTTTTAACATGTTTGTATCCATATATACTTTTTAAAAAAATACCAGTCTGACAGCAAAGACAGACTGAAACCTCAACACTGTATTTAAAACATTTAAAGTATTAAGCTTGTAGTAACATCTTTCACTGTAATTAGAGATAAGTATTTGTGGAGAGTCTATTTATTTATTTTTAACATTTTTTTAGGTGCAAGAAAGATTTTATGGCAGTCGAGAGATCAGGGTTATACAGCATATTACTTTTTAATTTCTTAGAGATAGGATCTTGCTCTGTCATCCAGGCTAGAGTAGAGTGGCACAATCAATTCACTGTAACCTCAAGCTCCTGCATCAGCCTCCTAATCAGCCTCCTGAGTAGCTAGGACTACAGGTTCCTGTCACCACATCCAGCTAATAAAAAAATATTTCTTTTTAGAGATGGGGGTTTTGCTATGTTGCCCAGGCTGGTCTTGAACTCCTGGCCTCAAGCAATCCTCCCACTCCTGCCTCCCAAAGCTTTGGGATTACAAATGTGGACCACTGCACCTGGCTCTATGGAGAGTATTTTAAGTGCCTTAATGGAATGAAAAGGAAAATACCCTAAAACTGTAGGAAAGTCTAGGATGTGTCCAAAGCTTCAGGATGATCAAGGCCCTAGCCATTCTTTATTATTTGGATGTCCATTCCAATATTACTTTGCAGATGTCAGTGTTAATATTAGCCAGACATGTCCTAAATCTTTGAAGACTAGAGCATGCACTCATTAACCTGTCATGAGACATCATCCAAAGAGTGAAAAGTTTAAAAGGACTGAAACTTTAATTCCCAAAATTTAACATTAGCCAGACTTCTCTGGCTTATAGACATGTACTCCAAACTACATCATTCAAGATCAATTACTTACCATTCATTTCTTTTTCCAATACATATCATCAAACATTTTTTTTTTTTTTTAGATATAGCATCTTGCTCTGTCACCCAGCCAGGAGTGCAGTGGCACAATCATGGCTCACTGCAGCCTCAACCTACCAGGCTCAAGCAATCTTCAATCTTCTTGCCTCAGCCTCCTGAGTAGCTGGGACTACAGGTGCATGCCACGACCCTCAGCTAATTTTTTTGATTTTTAGTAGAGACAAGGTCTTGCCAGGTTGCCCAGGCTGGTCTAGAATTCCTGAGCTCAAGTGATCTTCCTGCCTCAGCTTCCCACAGTGCTGGGATTACAGGTGTGAACTACTGTGCCTGGCTAAACAATTATAAATGAATTTACTGATACCTTTTTCCTGTTTATACATATCATGTCCCCCAAAAAGTGTTATAAAAATAGTTTGGTTTTCGAAAAATCAGTAGAGAAGATTGTGACTGTGTGTTATAGGATAGCAGATGGAGAAAACAGAACAGCACCACTGATTTTCATTCCCATCACTTGGAAAGAAACAGGCTTATTTGCCCTGGTGCTGTGGTTAAGGCTAGTAGTTAAGGCTTTGGTTGGGTTCTCTCTTTGGCCTAACTCTGGACTGAATCTTATGCTAAGTAAAGTGCCCAGCACAGGAGGGCCTTATGATATCATTTACCTGTTGCATGGCTGAGAAGATACAGATGTCCAGTGCTGACCTCAATCTAACTTCCTTTAAGTGCAAGTCACTGGACACTAAAAGCACATGAAAAGATATGTACTGGGTGTGCCATCACACTTCTGAGCCTCATCCCTAGAATAGGGCTAAAACCGAATATTTTTACCTTTCTCTGGGTAGCAGAAGCATTTTCTTACAAACTAAAGGAACTATATCCATAGATTCAACTGAAAGAAGGTCAATTGTAATTTTTCAAAATTTTCTGATGAAAGGGAACTACATAAGATTTTTTTGTTTGTTTGAGACGGAGTCTCGCTCTGTCACCCAGCACCCAGGCTGGAGTGCAGTGGCACAATCTCAGCTCACTGCAAGCTCCATCTCTCAGGTTCACACCATTCTCCTGCCTCAGCCTCCTGAGTAGCTGGGACTACAGGCACCCGCTACCATGGCCAGCTAATTTTTTGTATTTTTTTTTTTTTCTTTTAGTAGAGACAGGGTTTCACCGTGTTAGCCAGGATGGTCTCGATCTCCTGACCTCGTGATCCGCCTGCCTCGGCCTCCCAAAGTGCTGGGATTACAGACGTGAGCCACCGCCCCCGGCCTACATAAGATTTTTAGAAGGGCTAACGTATACCTCCTTTCAGAATTGCCTCTAGGTCAGCAATAATTATTTGGGGGGTTATGGAAGGAGAATGTCTCTACTGAATTGCTTTTAACATTGGTCCAAAGTGGTGGTGATGAAGGGGTTCTTTAAATAGCTTTGAGAATGCTGAGCTTTAAAAACAGTGGGTGATGTCCTCAGCATCCCAGCCAAGCTATTCACTGCAAATACTACGAACAACTGCAGCGCTACTGGCCTGGATATAAATATTCATATCAATAAATTGAATACTGCTGAATCCACAAGTATAGCAAGAATAACCTGCATATTGTCACTTCGCTGGAGATACGTGATTTATTTCTTGAGAAAAGTCTTCTTTGAGAGTAACATCCTCACAAAAGTCTCTTATGTGCCATTGTGTTGGAAAAGCCCATCACAGACAGATTGTGATGAGAAGTCCAGCTCTCCTGGTCCCCCATAAAAGCTAGCAGACCTCACATTAATAAAACAACCAGGCTACTCACCTGTCCTGAGATCAGAGAGACAAATCTATTAATTTATAATTTTGAGAAAGATAGTGATCAAAAGATGTACAGAAGTCATACATATTGACCTGGGAAATCTAAAGGTTCATTCAGTTTTGGGTCAGGACCATTTTCTCCTTCCTATTCCCATTCTCCCACCCCCATCTTAGCTTTTTATTAAGTAAACTTCTTTGCATAATCTCTGAACTCAAACACATTTTATTGTTATTCCTGGATGCTGTACTCATGGATATCTCACTTCTTTGGGAAAATGACCTATTAAATAAAAACGTGAGAAGTACAATGCCAACTTACCACAGTTTCTGAATCTCAGAACACAGATTCCATTCATAAGATGTGAAACCAACATATTGCTTCCACTGCAGCTTACGATTAGCTCTGGATTTTTAATTTTGGTTATTCAGCCCATTAGAAAACAATGTAGGCCGGGCGCAGTGGCTCATGCCTGTATTCCCAGCACTTCGGGAGGCCGAGGCAGGCAGATCACAAGGTCAGGAGATCGAGACCATCCTGGCTAACATGGTGAAACCCTGCCTCTACTAAAAATACAAAAAAAATTAGCCGGGCATGGTGGCGGGCAGCTGTAGTCCCAGCTACTCGCGAGGATGAGGCAGGAGAATGGCGTGAACCCGGGAGGCGGAGCTTGCCGTGAGCCGAGATCGCGCCACTGCACTCCAGCCTGGGCGACAGAGCGAGACTCCGTCTCAAAAAAAAAAAAAAGAAAAGAAAACAATGTAGGAAGTTGTTATCCTTTGTACACCTTATTTCAATTTCGCTGGTACTCAGAAATATAGCCAGTCACAGGAAAGAATTAATATATTAGACATAGCATCATTGAGGTAGATACACACATACATTCACCGAAAATACTTTAATGCAGAAACAATGTGTGATGAGTATTGTTATTTTTCTTGTTCCTACAGAATTGATTTCAACAAATTTTCTTAGGTGAAACCTTCCAAGTTACATGTTTCAGCTGTTTGAAACAAGAACTAAGGAGGCAAATATAGTATTTCAAACCTCATCACAATTTATTAATGCTACAGAGAGGAATACTGTGTTTAATGTCCCAGGATCTCTATGCCATTTGATGCTTCAAATCTTTTATCTTCATTATCACCATCGTCTAATGAAACAAAAGGTATGTGGAGTGGCCCCTTCTGTTATTTGAGACAGTAGTAGATCCTAAAGATGCCATACTTCGGCTTCTCTCAAGGAATTTTCAGCTGGTAAGAATTACCTTGATGTTCCTATTTATTTTCCATTTCTGATCTACTACTATGCAAAACTCACAGGAAGAAAGGGCTATATGTCTTCAGCATGGGGAGATGGAGTTCAAGGAAGTGAGATGAATTAGAAAAGGAAAAGAAAATGCACTCAGATATGTAGTACCCTTTCTCTTCCTGTTATGAGTTCCAGAGAGCTCATGAGGGAATCTCATTGCTTGTTCAAATGCCCACTCATAGCCAAAGGCCAAAGCCCTGGTTTTCATTTCTCATCATCCAACCCTAGTAGCCATACCCAGAAGAATACAAGGTCTTGCATCCAGGAGTTATATACCACCATGGAGACCTGGCCTAGCTTCCCAGGAAACACTGGTCAGGAGGATACCATTATAGCCCAGACCAAAGTCACCCTTCAATACAAGTTGAGAGATGCACAAAGAAATAAGTGCTCAGGGCAGTATTTCTCCAGAGAGCTATTTTGGATTCCACATAAGAGTAATGGTGGCCTTGGATAAATCATTCCTCTCATTTATGTGCTGAATGGGAGAAAACGAGTCAACAACTGATGCATGCAAAAGCATTTGGAGGTGATGGATGGAGACATTATGGTGCATTTCGTCAATGGCATGCCATTAGAGAAAACCATTTCATAGAGTAAATTAAAAAACAAACCAGCTACGTGACACACTTGGAATTGCCACTGGCCATGTGGGTTTTTCTCCTTCAGGAATGAAGCTACTTGGGATTGACACTGCCATTAGCAGGCAGACTCCCTTTCCTAGGCTAGCTGCCTGTGCTTGTCTGAGTTTTATGCCACACCTCGCACGTCCCCATATCTATGGCCACTCATGTAACTGGAGAAACCTGTGTATTCCAGACCCCAACTTTCTTTTATTGTTGTCTTAACTATTATTTACATCTTTTATTACCATTTACCTTCATGTGTCAATATCTTGTTTTCTTCATCTAGTTATAAAGACTCTTTCATGGTAAATACTGGGTCTTACAAATGAAGCTTACTAGCACAGCACCTGGCTTATGGTGTTCAGTAAATATTTGTTGATTTCATCTGTGATTGATTTTGCCTATTTTTCTCGCATACCTAGCTGTTATTTGCCAAATAGTGATTAATTCATTAAGAAGGTGTTTCTTCAGACCTAGATGCTGGGAATGCAGATAGAAGGCATGGTCTCTGACCTTGGGGAGCTCATATGCAGACACGCAACAATCAGAACGTGGCACAGCTGGACGTATATGTGGGAGGCTATGGCAGCACCAAAGGGGGGTGTTCTGGGTCAAGGTAGGTTGGGGGATCCAGAAAAGGCTTCCAGAAAATAGGAGTTCCTTTTAGGATTATGTAGTTGCTACCTAAACATGATAGCCCATTTATACAAAAGGCATGGTGGTGAGCCCATGCAAACAGGGAGCATTTGGGTTCAAGTCATTTGTGATTTCAGGATCTTCAACTGAAAAGCTCAACCTATTCCCAAAGTCATCAACTAAGGTTGGGACAGAAATGGGCTATGAAATCACAGGCCCTTTCCCCATGGCAAGCAGGCTCTGGGAGTGTTCAGATGCACCTCATGGTAACTATGGCTTCATAAAAATCAAAGCTGATTGATGGGAGGAGGCTCTCTGTGTTCATGTGTTTAGTCTACCCATGCTTTTAGTTCCACTGTGGCTGTGCTTCCTAATGGAAATGCATTTCTCTCTCTCACCATTATCCAGATATAGATGCTGTCAGATATGAAAGAGCCTTTTCACCTCAAGATTTTTGTCTTGTAAGGCAACCCTAATTCAGGAAGGAAATGAGGAGGAGTCGACAAAAACCCACCACAAATGTTTTGTCAGATAGTTCAGAGAGAGAGAAAGTTAAAGAACTCATTTTCTGTATGGTTTCTTACACAGTCCAGTTCAAGGAATTAGCTTTCTCTCGTGACGGGCTGTGGCCATCAGAAAATAATATACATTTTTATTTTTGCCCTCTGCCCCTGCCTTTTTTTCTTTTTTTTCTCTTTAGGAAATTACAATTGACAGAATAAAAATCCTCCACCCAGGGTCCTGTCGATATTAATGTATCAATTCTGACAAATCCACTGTGAGATGGGAATGATTCCTTTTCTACAAGTGTGGAATCTGAGGCTGAGAGAAATAAAAGAGCACATCCAAGGCTACCCAGCATGTCTGATTCCAAAGTTGGGGGCTCTTACCAACACCCAACAGCTTCCAGACCTGACATACACATGTATGTCAAAACGCATGACAAACAGCCATCATGTTCTGAGGTAGAAAAGGTAGAAACTGAGCACCCATCTCTCTTGTAGAAGGAGGAATTGGAAGCCTATTGGAATTGTTGCAGGTGGACGGGTTGAAGAAAAGGAAAATGAATCCTCATGGGAACATTCATGGGAAACCTCAGATTCTGAGGTTTCTTTCAAATAATCTTGTTTTCTCTTCACAGATTGGCAGCTGGTCCTGTGCTACAAAATCACACTATGTCAGGCCAAAACTGATCTCTCCATCTTTGATTATTTCTGAATGTCAAGCTGAAAAATCAGTTCATGCTCAAAATGGAATGTCCAAATGCCAAAGTGGGGCATTATCTTTGAATTGCTCTGTGACCATGGTGATACCACTGATCCTCTCTGAACCTCTCCTGATCTCCAGAGGCTGACTTTACTGGGGCACCAGGGAAGATTGGAGCTTCTTAGGGAGTTTTCTGAATCAGTGTTTTTCTCTCCCATGGAAAAGCAAAGTAAGAGGAGGAAGGTAGAGGGGACACTTAGAAAAGGGAGGGAAAAGTAGCTCTAAACTTCTGGAAGAGCCATGCTAGAAGGCCGACACATCCTGCTATTGAATGCAAGATAGGAGAAAACAAAATAAAACAAACAAACAAACACAGAAGCAAACAACAACAAAAATGTTTTGTGCTAAGAACCTGACATCCAGAAGTGGTCCTGGGGCCTTCCGTGAAACCACACATTAGGACCATCCCATCCTGGAACCTTCCCCACAAGCAATTGTTCCTACCCCATACCTAGCAGTGTTTCCAAATGCCTCACCTCATGGCCAAATCCTTAAAAGTAGATCTTAATTCACTTTTGTTTAATAATTACACAGAAAGCATCTTAAAACTTTCAGGAAAGTGGGAATAGAGCATGAAAAGAGACTAGGAAGCAAAATAATATCTGGATGTTGATTCTGCCAAAGCTGCACATCCTTGCTGGATGAGAGTGGGGAATGGGGCATTATTCTGAGACACAGCAAGTGTTTTATCTGCAATTGACAAATCCCAAATCCTCCCAGCTTCCGTTTCTCCCTACTTAAGACCTAGGTCACGGTATTTATTTACTTAAATGATGGAGATGAAGGCAGGCTTAAGGCTGGCCACCTGTCAGAATAACAGTGACCTGTTTCTAAAGGGATTTCAGCAACCTCCCAACATAAGACAAAAGGGGATTGTGTGAAAAACAGAAAAGAATTCACTAATTGCACTAAAAGTGGATGGTGAGGTGGAGAGGAAAGATTGCAAGGGCAGAGAGATGCTGTGAGAAATAAGCAGATCTGTGGGTGCCCTTCTAAGCAACTTGAAAGAGGAGAAACCCCCTCCTCTTTGGAGATTAGAAGTGATTTTGCAAAGAATGATAGCCAAACTGGGAAGTTAGGCTCCCTTATCCGCCTCCCACTAATGCCCTTGGGCTTCTTCCTATCCTTATGAAGAGAGGCTTGTTACGGTTCCTAAGCAATGCAAACAAACTTTCTCAGAAACAATACCGCTGCTGCTTTCGAGGTTGGAGAGTCAACAGACAGAACCCTGACTGAAGGCCAGGGACGGTGGCTCAGGCCAGTAATCCCAGAACTTTGGGAGGCCGAGGCAGGCGGGTCACCTGAGCTCAGGAGCTGGAGACTGTCCTGGGCAACATGGGGAAATCCTGTCTCTACAAAAATTACAAAATTAGCTGGGCGCGGTGGCACGAGCCTGCAGTCGCAGCTACTCAGGAGGCTAAGGCAGGAGAATTGCTTGAGCCCAGAAGGCGGAGGTTGCAGTGAGCTGGGATTGCACCGCTGCACTCCAGACTGGGTGGCAAAGCGAGACTCTGTCAAATAAATAAGTAAATAAATAAATAAATAAATAAGTAAATAAAATTAAATATATTTTTTTAAAAAGGTACAGAATCCTGCCTGGGGAATCTAAAGACAAAGCATGGGTGACCTTATTTAACAAATACATGTGCACCACTTACTAGATGTCAGACAGTGATCTCCAACAATGAACTCATATGGCACTTAGAACAACTTCCTCCTCCTCATCACCCCCGTTTTACATAGAAAGTGAGTACCCAGGCAAAGAAATCAGCACTAGTCCGAGGTGGGGCCAGTATGTGGGCAGCCACACTGTCCCAAGGGTCAGTGCTCTTATCCCCTGTGCTGTGCTGGGCCTCAGCTGAGAGGATGAGGTGCCATGTACGGCTGTCAAAGAGCCACATTGCAGGGTGTTTCAGCGAGCTGCTACTTGAGGGATAGGATATATCCCCAGGCTTGTGCCAGTCTCTCTTTTTTTTCTGACAGAGTTTTGCTCATCTCCCAGGCTGGAGTGCAATGGCACTCTCTCGGCGCTCACTGCAACCTCTGCCTCCTGGGTTCAAGTGATTCTCCTACCTCAGCCTTAGGAGTAGCTGGGATTACAGGCATGTGCCACCACGCCCAGCTAATTTTTGTATTTTTAGTAGAGACGGGGTTTCACCATGTTGGTCAGGATGGTCTCAATCTCTTGACCTTGTGATCCGCCCGCCTCAGCCTCCCAAAGTGCTGGGATTACAGGTGTGAGCCACCGTGCCTGTCTTATATCAGCTCTCAGAGGGCATCCATCAACTTATCCAGTCCAGACAAAGAATGATTAAAAGGGCATGGGCTATGGACAGATCTGCTTTTGAACCTTCCATTTTTCCTAGGGAAAGTTATTTAATTTTGGTACATCTTACTTTCCTATCTGTAAAGCGAGGCTTATGTGACCTTACGCAGGATTCTGTGAAGATTAGTAACAAAATACACAACCTGTTCAACAGGGTGCCTGGTGATGGACGGATAGGAAGTGCCCAATTTGTAAGAGCTGTTTTGAATATTTTGTTGTTGTAAGGCCCAGTGTAGAAAGCTCTGGGCATCTGGACAGTGCTTACAAATCCCTCAGAGGCAGCTCGTGCATATGAAATGGTGGACTGGCTGAAGAAAGCTTTATCCACAAATGAGTCTGCCTTCTAGTTTTAGTACACTGGGTAGCTTCCTGCCTCCACAAAATGGAAAGCAATTTTAGTAAGTGCTTAGCTCAATTAGTTTGTGCCCAGACGTACTCTCAAGGGCTGGGCATACATACTTGTGATCGTGATTACCCACCTATCTCTGGGAGGCTTGTTTTTCCAGAAGCCAGAGGCCTGAGTCTCTGGCTTCTAGTACACTAACCAGGTGAAATTTCCATTCAGTAGTGTACCTCTCACTCCAACCCCCTAGGATGGGGCTTGAAGTGAACACCCTCTTCTACTGATGTAGAAGGTCAAGGAAGTGTTGTCCACTTGTCATAGCACCTCTTTCGGTCCATGTTAGCTGCAACAGTCATGAGCTCCCTCTGGGAAGCCCATGGGAAGCTCAAGCATCTGCTCTGCAAGCTTGGACCCAAATGTCCAACACAGCCTATGGTGACATCCAAGATACTTAATAACTATTAACAACTACAACAGACCAAGATGGTTACATGTGACTCTGAGCAGGAATTCTGGCTTAGAACATTCTGTCAATTCTGCTGGTACTGAAATCAAGAACACCTTTCAGAAATTGCGCCAAAGGATCCACAATAGGTAGGGAGGAAGGAACATATATCCAGAATACAATCCAATGAGCCCTGACACATAAGACTTTGAGGGTGCACTGCAGATCCAAGATTATGCTGTTTTGCTTCAGTGGTTCTTCTGGGTGATGTCTTTTTTATTTTCTCTGGTTTTCGCCACCCTTCTGCTATCCCCTCTTGGTTGCCACAGCATTTTGTGGGTGGGCATCATTACAAAAGTGAGGAGGAGATGGTGACTGCTCTTGGGGAAAATGAGAATGTGCAGTGATTACTCTGTCATCAACGGTTTCCCCAAACTCACTATCACAAACTTGCCCAAAATAAATCCACAGCCTTAACTCCAGTCTCTCTGTTCCTGTAGAAATTACAACAGCCAAAGATGAAACCTAAGGCAAGACAGATGACAGCATGATGGAAGGAAAGAGTACACTGAGTGCCTTATCGATCTATCTGCCAGCCTGTGAATGGTGGGTAATAAAAATTTATTGAAAATTAGGGAAAAAAATCACTTATTCTAATTCTTCTGAAAGGCATTACTGATGTTGCATATGAATAAATCCCTCCTTCCCCAGGACGAAACTACCATCCTCCACCATCCAACCCTCTAAACAGCACGAATTTAAAAATCTTGCAATTTTATTTGCATATAAAGGCCGCTAGATATAGAATATCACAATAAATTTAAAGAAACAACTGCTTTCCTAAATTTCATTAACAAAGTAACATAAAATAGAATAAAGCTCAACAGCATTTACAATGGGAAAACAGAAATGACTATTAGCGACAATATTTTGTGCTAGCGAAGATTGCATCGACACACAGTGCAAAATGGGAGAGGGGAGAGGAAGTAAGAAGACAACTTGGGGTATTTAAATAGAAAGGACAACTAAGCCTTATTTTAGTTAGCTTCCATTGCATCCATTTAAGTCTATACATGCCTGTAACTGTACCTAGATTTAACTCAAGCTCTTTAAGACCTTGAGCTCTGAGAGAATGTGTCAGTTCCTTCCGACTTCTGATGTGTTGCTATACAGCATCCCTTTGCAGTTGTACTGTCCTTGACAATAATAAACTCCTAACGTAGTCATAATACACAAAAAATACTTATATATATAAACCCATATTGAAAAGGAGTCTGCATGTTCATTTTTTTAACCGTATGAAATACCTGCTCTTGACAGATTCCATTTCTGTATTTTTAAAGCTGAAATAATTTAAAAGAAACAAACAAACAATGAGACCTTGTATAACCACAATAGGAATCTCACTAGTTAAACCATCCTTTAAATGACAGCCATTTTCTTCTCAATGCAGCTTTCTTTATAGTGAGAGTATGAAAAGAAGTCTTTTCCATGCCTACTTCTGTTGAGAAGATTGCTATAAATTGGGACCACATCTGCAAAAAAGAAGCATTACCAAGAAAACAACAACAACAAAACATTGAAAATTAAAATATTTCAAACAATACTCTTAAACAGTTGTGCAAATCTGTGTTGGTTTTTAAAACACTGCCTGTTTCTTATTTTTTTTTCTTTCAGCTTAAAGCATATTAAAATAAGACTTTTATCACTTTTTAAAAGAAAGCTTGGCTGTCCTTTGGCGAACACTAACAATTTACAATGGCATGGCCTTTGAGAAAACAGAAGTCATTTTACAAATTCACAATGTTCCTCTGATTTCAAATGGATGCCCCATTTAAAATAAAATAAAATAAGAAGCACAACCTCTAGCATCATTTGTGTTCCAACAATTTACAAAAAGAACTCACAGGGTTTGTAAATAAGTAAGAGAATGTAAGTTTATAATTAGAAAAATGGCAGTTTATAGACCTTCCCTCACATTCCAATAGGGCATTTAGAGCTTCAGGAACCCTGTGGGTTTGGAAGGTCAAATATAATTGGAGGGTTGGTCGGTTGAAAGCTGACTGTACACGTCGAGGCATTGATGTACGTTGTGTAACCGTCGGTCATGATGCCATAACCTGTGGGGAGAGCGTGTCACATTTACTGTAATATATACAAATGAGAGTGATGGAATGTAGGGCTGTCAGGCAAGGAAAACAAAAAATTTTTGTCAGTGGGCAGTGAGATGAAATTCAGTTGAGCCTCCTCAGATATAATGACTTTCAGAAGCTACTGCCCAATTTTACTCTATTTTCTTTAAATGGTAGAATCTTCTCCTTCAACTAAGAGCAATTTTTTTTTCTTTATTTAAATGCTAAACTTGTTGAAGAAGGGCTGTGATTTCTTTACTAGGGAGAATAAAGAAAAACTTTTTTCCTCCTTTTAAAATAGGATTTTCATTTCAAAGCCTTGTGTTAACTATTGAGTTCTAGGGAATAAAATGAGTAATATAAGGATTACTCCTCAGGGGCAAACACAACTAAATTCCAAGTGGGATATGGGGCAGGTGAGGGGGGAAAGGATACTGCATTGAGAGTTAAGAAATGTAGACACTCAATTTACTTATTTATGAAATAATCTCTTAACTGCCTTTACGAAAGTCAACCATATATGATTTTTGAATTGTGTGGCTTTAATACTAAGTTCCATTTCATTCAAAAGTGTCAGCTAATCACATGTCGAAGTGATGTGTAGAAACATCACCCTAGGTCACTGTTTCCTAAGCTTACCTGGATACTAGATCAAGCAAAAACACTTCCCATATGCAATATAAACCTTTTGTGATTTATTGGGAGAAAGTTGTTTCCCTAGGTCTTTGGTATATATGTTCCTTTGATAATTTTCAATATGATAAAATGTTTAGCATGTTTGCAAGTTGGCACATTTCCCTGAATACCTTATATTTGCCTTATAGCCTCTTCAACTAAGATTCTATGTTGGTATCAGGCTCTTATCGCATATAAAAACATAGCTGTGAAAAAAATAAAATTACCAAGATATAGAGAAGTAACTGAAAAGGCTTTTTTCCACATTGGCTAAAATTTCTCCAAGTAAAGCCTGTGGAGAACTTAATGAGGGTCAATGGAAAAATCTCTTAAGAAAAGAAAAGAGGCATTTAAAATCTGCGCTGTTTAGTTCTGGGGTCATAAAGTCTTGTTATCTCTCTCCATCAAGAGGTTGGTATTTGCCCTCTTCCTGCCCTCTTCAGCTGTCTTAAGTGAATAAAAGTGAGACAAGTTTATATGAATATGATCTCCTCCCTTTTAGGCAAGTTTATTATTTTGGGGCTTCAGTGGAATTCCCCAATTGTCTGGCTAGTTTAAAGGTAATTAATGATTTTTTTCAAAGATAAAATGCAAACTCATAGGCATGCTGCACGAATTCAGACCTGTTTTCAGAATAACAGTCCTCCAGAAATGTTGCTTAGTTTAGATATGAGGTCCCACCTCCCTAGTCTCCCCTCCAGGCATTCCCCCATCACTGGTGTTCCCTCCATCATACCTTAGGGCAGTACCCTCCTTTTCAGGGAGCATAGCTCAAAGCCAGGGCAGGCCGATATCCACTCTCTGGGAGCTGCACCCTGCTTTCCACCCACTCAGCTGGTACCTGCCCTTGGAGCAAACTGAATTTTCTCTGGCCTCAGTAGGATGATTTTCAATATGCTCTTTATTACCCACCTAACCAGGAAGCCACTGAATTTGTGGGCTTTGAAAAAGCAAACTTTGTTTTTTGCTTCCTCAGGCACACAGCCTTAAACACCTCAACTTGACTGCATATTCATAAGTAACTCCAGAGAGCTGCCATAAGCAGGAGCTAGAGAGAATATAGCGGCTGCCCACGTAAACACGGCCATTGCACACAAGCGTGTGTAACTGGGAAAATCTGCTAGGGACAGAAATCCTTAGGCTTGCTGAAAGAGGGCTTTGTGTCTGTCTCAAAGCCCAGTTACCCATGATTTGAAAAAGGCAGGTCGGAGAAAACCCAGATCCCTTGAAGATTCCTGTTAGGCTTTCGGTTCTGTGAACCTGACTCAGCTTACCTTGAAAGGCAGAAAAATGGCAACTGGACCAGTTCCTATTTAAGAGAGATTTAATTATTCTGCTTAACCTCAGCCTGAGCTAATAGCTCCGATGATTTCTGAGAAGTCTGAAATAGTTTTCTGAGGTTAGTAAGGAAAAGTCTACCTGCAAATGTGCAGGTTCCCGCCACTTCTGTTACATATCTTTCATTGCATGTCCTAAGCTATTTTTCAGAGAATGCCTTGTCTTCCTGGGTCTTTGTGTTAATTCCATATGAAACACAATATTTACAGGTAGGAGGGGACTATAGAGGCTTAAAATAGCTTCTAATATCCAGACCATTTCTTCTAACTCTCTTAAGGAGAAAATGACTCCTTGTATACCTTGGGGTTGCTCTAAAGCAGTGGTTATCAAACATTCCTCGTTAAAGCCCTGAGATTCCAGAAGCTGCCAGGGGGAGTGCAGGGTTTGCAGTTAGTAGACCAGACGTGCTTCCTACTTTCCACTCTGTTTACAAGAGAGAAGGTCCATATAAAATATTTATCAGCTTTATATTCAGATGTTTCTCATAAGACTTCATCTTATAAAAGGGTCCCGCTGCTAAAAAGTTTGAAAACAACTACTCCACTTATTCCTAGTTGTAGACTGAGATAGTGGACAGGGGCACAAAATGTTTTGAATTCTTTTCCGCTGTTCTTACCTTCATGGATTCCACCAAACACATGGAGCTTGGGCCGGACTCGCCTCTGAACCGTGTTTAACAGCTCCACACAGCCCACTCTTTGAAGCTCCTTTGGAACCCAGTCTCGAAAACCTAAGGGCAAAATGCAATCAATACACTTAATTTTCTTTCTTCAGGTAAGGTTTCATTTAGACTTTCAGGAAGCCATAACTCACAGAAGGTTTATTACATTATCTGTAATCCTAGCCTCTCCATTAAAGCTCACAATGGCTTTTAAGAAACTTTTCACTCGTCACTTTGTCTTCTTTAGGTTCTTGAAATTTTTTTTTGGTTTCCATTTTTTTTTCTTCCTGTTAATTAACATTTTTTTTTCTGTAGGAGATTTGATTTATTCAGCCATGGGTTTCAAATCTTCTTCATGAGCTCAATGACATTTATTCCCGGCAGTCCCATAATATCTCTTTCTCCCTCAATTCAGTTACTTTCGCTATTTTATTATATCTTTCTTATAGCAGTTTACTTCTAAGATGATTCAAAGAAGGACTGAGAGGAGCTGCCTGTAAACTGGTCACAAGATACCCAGCTCTCTTTAGATACACTAAGTCTTACCCCTTGTGGTTCCGGATGACCAAAGCTTTGGAAAGCTAGGTTGCTCCTGTGGTCCTGTCCTCTCCAGCGACAGGCAAAAATGTGACCTCACAGTGGCATCCAGCAAGCTGGGGCTAATTGACTACTTTTAAAGTAAAAGCCACTTAGTTCTACACTTAATGCAGAAAATCCATAAAAACTGACATCAATTATAGCAAAAGTCAGCTATCTGGATGATTATGGCCTGGAATGGAATCCATACGCCTCAGCAGGATAGGGCATAAAGAAGGCAGGTAGGATGAAAGGCTAAATCGTAATCTCTGGAAACCCATTCCACAGCGCCATTAGGTTATTTCTATTATTTAGAAATAACTGGGCAGTAAGGAACAGCTTTCTGCTTTTTCGGGCCAAACTGCAGACATGAACGTTTAGTGTCTCTGTAAAGACATATTCGCTGGGGTTTAAGGAGTGACTAGAGAGTCTGAAAATAGATGAAAGTGGGGTCCCCAGCAAAAATCTATCCAGCGTTTTCAAAACTTTTTTAATAGTGGGGCAGAATTCTTAAGCTACATTGATTGGCATATTACCTCATGCATGTGTTTTTCCTGAAGGGGGAAAATATTCCATTTCATATGCAAACATCTGAGAAAGCATCTTGCTTATACCATAACAGTGAAGTCTCACGGCACTGTGGCATCCCTCACCAGCAGGAAGAAATTCAAGGCCAGTCTCTCCACTCCCCTCTCCAATGTCACGTTTTCACAAGAATCCCAATAGCTATATTAACTAAGGTTTAACAATACCTTAGGAAGACTTTGCCTGACCTTTTATTTGGGAACTCCTTGATGTAGCTGTCACTCTGCTCTACTCACAGCCACTCTCTCATTTACTCCACCTTTACCATAAAGAGAGGGATGCTAGCTTCCCTATTAAGAGTTCCTGGGATGTCTGAAATCCTTGGAGTCTACAATTCAGACTTACTCTTATTGCCATTTGCTTTTATACCAAAATCAATGACTTGATAAGTTTGTTCTGTTCAAAGTTGTATTCCAAATAATACTCGAGTCATGTAAATGTTTCTCTGCTGAAGATGTCCAAGTCCCTTGAAATAAATAGCCAAAGGGAAATCATGCCTGCACCCAATTAGGCTGCTCAGGCAAAAGGATGAAGGTAGCTGAAATGATAACTCTGTAGGATGCTCTCACTGGGTAACTCATGCTGATCACAATATTTAGCTAGCAATTTAATGATGTAGCTACTCTAATGGTTGTAAAATAGGGAACTTAGTTAATTATGACTTGATAAAGGTTGTTGACAAGTGTAATATTTTAAAACATGGGTTGAGGTGGTCTGGGGATGATGAAAAAGCATGGGAATGGTGATTCTGAAGTGTTAAAAGAAGTCAGGAACTGCTGATCCTGTGCAAATCTATATAATTCCCATGTCTGCAACAGAGCTGGCTCTTCTTTTCTTGCTTCCCCCATCACTAAAATGTGCCACTATGGCCTCCGCCATGGTGCTCACTTCCACTGTTTCTTTGTGAAACATGGGCCACTTCCCTTGTAAGAGAAGGAGAGCAGCACCAAGTGCCTTGGAGGAGAAAATATCTACAAAAATTAAACTTGCATTAGGAAATGAATGTTATTTTTTTTTCTTTTTATTTTTAGGGATGGCAAAGGAGGGGGGTAACATGGATAAAAACTCCAAACCACAGGAAAATTTGTGGAAATTATTTATATTTGTATAAAGTGTTTTTTCCCTCTCTCCAAACCAAGATGATTAAGAAACTCTTTTAGCATTGTACACTGAAAAATGTGTTAAAAGGGTAGATTTCATGTTATATGTGTGTATGTGTGTGTGTTTAGCCACAATTTTAAAAAGAAAGAAAAAATCGAACAGTCTTCTATTAAAAGTGAAACATCTGAATTTCTTGAGCACACCTTAGTCATTTAGAAAGGGTCCTGGCATAATGGGTACTGAGTAGATGTGGGATCAGGGCGGTAGTCCTTGTTGAAGGATGTTCTGTAGCTAAACCAACAGATAACAAGTTCGTGAAAAATTAAAAGGTAATAAGTCAACTGATCATTCTTTGGCCCATAATGTGGCTCACTAGTGGGTAGGCTTTGAAGCACACAGACAATATAAATCTGGATGCAGCCTCCATGTGCCTGTAGGGTAAGTATCCTTAAGTAACTTTCAGTGTAAGTTCTTACTGAAATACCTCAGCTTATAAAAAGGATTCTTTTCTAAAATTATCAGCTCAAATGTTAAACTTTAAAGGTCTTCCAGGTTCCAGCATTATATGGAAAAGGAAAATGAGCTCCTTTGAATAAAAATTTCCATCATTTCATTGCCATTCAAAAGCCCTGTGATTGGGAGGTCCGAATCTTCCTTCCTTTCTCCACCCCACCCCCTTACTCCAAAGTGAATACAGTTCTTAAAATAAATTATCAAGCTCAGAAGACTGTGGCACACCATACTCATTTGATTTTTCCCTGACTTGACTAAATCAAAAAATTTAATTTCAAGAACACCTGTAAGCCCAGCAGAACTGCTGAGTTTAATTATCATACTGAGTTTCTTTAAAGACATTGACTTTTCTTCTCGTATTCACTTTTTTTTTTTTTTTGGAGGAAAATGATTATGTCCCTGAAGCATTATTCATTATGCCTGGAAAAAAAGGCATCTGGATGACAAAGGACAACCTTTGCTTCACTTACCTAGAGGAGGTCCATGTGTCATGAGTATGTCAATGCCCTCAGGGATGAGGTTCCACTTGTCCAGCAGAGACTGACCTCTGGGTAGGTTAAAGCCCCATCCATTAAACCACGGGGTCCTTTGGGGGAGATAATGCACATGGTATCAGGCCAGCAGAGCCACGGCTCCGCTCTGCAATATTTCTCTCTCGCACATTCCCCCACGGTTTGCATTGCTCTCTTTTCTCTTTTTGATGGTTGGCCCTGGCAGCAGGATGCTTTTTTGTTGACTGCTTCAAAACCAATCCATTTGAAAGTAAGCGTGGAGCCTACGAATTGTTCCACTAGAAAGGGGCACAAGAGCCTTTACAGTGGAGACTTTCCCAGCAGGCCTCTATCAAAATCTTGACAATGCTTTGTCTTCCCCTAAATCTCAGTGCTTCCTAAGATACCCAGCCCCGATCCAAAGCATTTCCACCCTTCCTGTAGCATCTCACAGCTAAGAAATTCTGCAGTACTCCTTCTCCCTCACAATCACTGTGAGGGGAGGAGTGAGGAGGGAGGAGAAAATCTTTCTACTTTTCCAGAAAGATTCTCACTAAAGTCCTTGGAGAAAAGGATGAGGGCTCTGACACAGGCACTCTGTCCATTAAGATGGTTTGAATACCCTGGAGTGAGATTTCTGAAAAAATACGGGGGCTCTGAAAAGTGAGAAGGAACACAGTAAACAGAAAGTAAACACAGAACTTTTCTTCTGCCACCAAAGGGAAGATTTGGGGACATCCCTGGTCACTCTGGAATCCACTCTCCTGACAATGAACATGAGCCTTTTTCCATCCCAGGAACTTCTGCTCCAAGAATGAGTTTTTGAGATTGATGTTCCATGTAGAAGGGAATGAGTCTTTGTCCATCCATTGAGCATTTCTGATCGGTGCTGAAAATGTCTCTACCATTTAAGATACAAGTAATGGGAGACTGATCAATTTCTCTCTGCAAATACTACAGGCTAAATCACATTAGAACTAAGTAGTTCCCAGTGTTATCCTATTCCCAAACATCTAGATCTTATCAGTATTCTTTAAAACTGTTCTATTTTGTTCTGTGGGTAAATTCTAATTTGCTAAGGCATACATGTAACAGACAAGTCGGTCAATTTTCTGGCCAAGCCCAACTTACCCTTTCAGTTTAACCTGCCCCTTCCATGCCAAATGAAAGAGGTAAACCTGTGTATAAAGTGACCCTAACCTTGTCAATCACAGCTAATCAAATGGAGTGCACACTTACTTAAAGCCAGTCACTGGCCAGACTAATCAGATTCTTTCAAGAATTTGAATTTAGAAACACTGACACAGCTTTCATTTGGTGGTGGACATGTATAGTCAAGACCAGAGCGAGAAGAATGGTCATTGAAAGCCATGCAAAAATCTGTGGCATACGTGCAAACCTCAGTTCACGCTGATATGGTGGAGAAAGTTCCAGAGAGAAGAGACTGTGTAGCCCTAGCCAGAAAAGGAGAAACTAGGAAAGTATCAGACTTGCTTCCTAACCACTTTCCAAGTCCTTAAGCCATGCCCGGGGTGCTTGCTTATAATAGAAATAAGAATATGAGGAGAATAATTATATTGTGTTATTTAATGCTTTTTCTGTGTCAAGGTACTATTCTAAGCCCTTTATTTGTATTAACTCATTTAAGCCTCGCAGCAAACTCATGAGGTGGGCACTATTATCATCTCTACTTTACAATGAGGAAACTGAGGCACAGAGAGGTTAGGTAAACACAATTAATAACTTGGATATAAACCCAGGCAGTCTGGTTCCAAAAACAATGTTTGCCACCATATAATTCCTCTTCTTATATACTATCTGAATTAATTTACTCCTTGCTCTGGGTGAGACTCTTCTGTACTCTTTCAAGCTTGAGTATCTTGTTGCTTGAAGCCTAGTGAGCTCTGAACTGGAATAATATATCAATTTCATGGTTCTGAAATCCAGTAATAACATAGTGGAGTGGATACCTGTTGCTTTTGTCTGTTCAGATCTTTCCTCCGTCTTTTGGTGACAACATCTGAGTTTCTTTTGGAGAACCACTCCCTTTCCCACTCAGTACATGTGCTTCTGGTAAGACTGATTCCATCCCTGTTCTAGAATGAGTCTTAGGGATGTACATATGACCCAAGTTGTGTCAATGAGAGTCACCCTCAGGATTTGGCTGGTGCTATCTAAGAAGAGGTCAGGGTTTTCTCTCTGGGATCCTGAATCTTAAGACTTATATGAGCCTGGAATTGCCAGGGAGCTATTTTATCTGTCCTATAGATAGCCCCTGCTTGAGAAACCACCACAAAGAAACCCAAGACAAAAAAGAGAGGACTGTAATGATGTTGTTGAACATGTGCATCCAGCTGTACCTGAAGCCAACTGAACTTTTCCTTCTAAGGGCCAATAAAATCTTGTTCTTTTTATTAACTTTAGTTAGATCCTGTTTCTTGAAACTTAAAAAGTCCTAATATATACAATCATTGTATGTACCTGGGGTAAGCAATAATGTCTCCTCCACTCCAAGATGTCTACATCCTAATACCTGGAACCTGTGAATGTTACTGTACACGGCAAGGGGAAATTAAAGTCACTGATGGAATTCAGATGACCTGAAAATAGTAAGATTATCCTGGATTATCTAGGTCGGCCCAGTGTAACCCCAAGGGTCCCTAAAACTGGAAGAGGGAGGTAGAAAAGAAGATCAGAGTGATGCAATGTGAGAAGGACTCAACCTGCTATTGATGGCTTTGAACACAGAAGAAGGAGACTAGGAGGCAACAAACGTGGGCAACCTGTAGAAGCTGGAAAAGTTACGAAAAACCCAGATCTTCCTATAGAGCCTCCAAAAAAATGCAGCCCTGCTGACACCTGGATTTTAGTCCAGTGAGACCCATGTCAGACTTCTGACCAACGTACTTGTAAGATAAATATGTGTTGTTAGAAGCTACTAAAGTTGCTGTGACTTGATAGAGCAGAAATAGAAAATTGGTACAGTACCTACAACGTCTGAGCTGCCTATAAAATGCAGGGACCTGGGAGTGGCCCTGGGCCTCAGCTGACATATGGCACATGGTCAGTCAACACAGCCACACCGCCTTGCTCAGCTAGATGCAGTGCTTTTAGAGAGGAGAAGGTAGTGCTCTCTTTCCTACCTCAATTTGCTTGGGAGGCACCTGGCATTGGAGGCCTGGGGATAATGCCAGGTAGACCCTTCTAGAGTTCAAAGAATCAGTCTTTCTCTCTCTTGTCCTTTAAGATTCCTCACCTTCAGGTTCTTAAACATTTTTATTAGAGTCTAAAATACAGCTTTTCTCATTTGGGATGCCCATCCTTCCCCTTTATTTTACAGTGACCCTCTTCTAAGGTTTGTTTTAAAAGTAAAAACAAAACAAAAAGGCAACTTCGAAACCCAATGAAAACTCAGTGAGCATTTTGGACAAAGAGAGACAGAGAAAAACAAGCAAAAGCATCTGTTTTGCTAGATTTTGAAAACAAGCTTCTGGGCCTATGGTTCTCATCTGGACGTCTAATAAAGAAGGATTTTAACAAGTCTCAAGCACACTCAGGTAGTTGTTACAACGAGGAGATCTGATTTTGCTGTCAGCGAGGATAGTGAATCTCTGAACCCACAGGACACCCAGGGGCTTCCAGAGGCAAAGGAACAGGGCTTAAATTTTTCAGTCTTTCCTGTTTTCCCTTGCAGAATTTTCTCTTAAAACCCCACAGCCATATTCCCCCAGGAAATCCTCAGTTTTATAAGTGCTCTGTAAAAGATAAGACAAACCTATGGTCTATATTTATAGAGACCCAAAATTTCATTTGGTTAATGTTAAGCTGTGACAAAATCCAGAAGTTTCCAAGTTAAGGATGAAGTTTAACAATGTCTGTCTTTTATTTCAACTCAGATCCATATGTGTATGAGAAGAAGAGCAGTTATATTCCAGGAAAAAAAAAAAAAACATTTATCATGGCCTTGATGTGCTTTTACCTAGAGCTTTTACGTAAGTTATTGGATTTAGTTCTTCACAGCAATTTTTAAGGTAGGTATTATCAGCTCTATTTTTAGTTAAAAACCTGAATATCAGGGATATCAAGTAACTTGTCCATGTTCCCAGGACCAGTAAGTAGTAGAGCCAAGATCTGAACCCAGATCTGCTGGCTCCAAAGCCTGGGTTCTTCCCTTGCACAATGCTGACCAAAACCTACTAGCACAATTTCAGTTTTTGCTCTCATATATGTAAAGTAAAAGTAAGGCTGCTCCATACAGAATCTTAGTCTGTGTACTGTACAGCTCCAAGAGGTGCCATGGAATTGTGCAACCGAGGTGGCCTTTAGTAAAAACATAGTATGATATGGCTGTTCTGGGGGCTTTCCAGTCCTCTAAATCCTCTAGGTAAGGTCTTTCCACAAGACAGTGGCAGGCAATGGAAAAAGCAGCCCACTGATGGATTCCAGAATTATCTCAGCGTGGCATAACAAATGGGGCATACAGAAGTGGGGAGATGTGTGTGCTAATTCTCATGCTGAAATTAATTCACTGGCTCACCTGAACCTTAGGTTAGCAAAAGGTCCTCACTGGTTCAGTTTCCTCACCTGAGCAATGAATGAGAGTGGACTCAATTACTGGATTTCAAGATTGCTTTTAGGTTGTAGAAATCTTACGCAGAAATGCAATGCACAAAGCAGGCAAATGCAAAGGTGGGGACTGGGAAGAAGGAACTTGGAGCCTGCTTACTCACTCAGCTCCCTCCTCCTTTCCAACCTGCACCTCTGAACACAGCTGGCCAAAGCTGGCACTTGATGATCTTTCCATATCTAAAAATCCTAATATTTTATAGTTCTGTGCAGATTATCCATGTTCTGAGTAACTGCAGTGAATTGCTCTCAGTGAATTACCTAAACTGCTTGTGAGGGACCAAGTCTAGTGTGAGAGAAATATCTACACAGAGCAGAACACTGAATGTGTCAGTGCCAATGAATAATGCTTTATCCAGTTGAGTTTCAACCTGAAACATGAAACCCCAGCAGTGAGCCCATCAGGGGTTCACTGGAAAATACGTGCACAGCCAACCTCCAGAGCCCCACAATGGGTTTTGTTGTGTAGCAATGGGGGTGAGGGGGGAAAGGAGGAGGAGGGAATCCAAGGGAACAATGTCTATTGCTTCAGCCAAAGGACTTAATAATTAGCTGTGACTAACAAATACCACATGGGAACCAACTTGTAAAAAAATGTCCCACAAAGCACCCTATTGCCAGTGGGCCAATTTGAGCCTGCAACCTCTCCCCTTCTAGGGAGAGATTAGAAAACTAGAAGGAAGGAGAGCAACTCCATCTGCCTGAAGCCACTGGACCAAAGACTCAGATGGATGGAAGCTGGGGATGCTTTCAAAGCACCCTCCCCCTTGCTCTTGAAATTGTAAGCACTTGGCCTCCCTGGGCTGAAATTCCAGGGGCAGGGGCTAAGGGAGTTAACATAGGCAGAACTTACTCCAAACAATGTCAATACAAAACAGGTTTTCTTTATGGAAGCAAGTTAGGACGAAATCGCTGAAAAGGTCATCTGTGTTTGCAGTACACAGTACGGTGGTGCAGGCAGAAGGGAGGTGCCAAGCCATAAATCCAGGGAGGCTTGGACAGGTGAATAGCAATTTACTCCCCCACAAACTTCAGTGGGGGCTGGGTGCGTCCTAGGAAAGCAGGATTTGGAAACAGGAAGTTGGTGCCTGTTATCCTCAGGTGGGCTACTCAGGGTCACAGCCCTGGTGTTACAAATCAACGTCCACAAATTTTCAATGCACAGACAGGTCCTGAGCTGGCTGCATCAAAAAGACTTGGGTTCTTATTACTATAGTCTTCTGGGCACCTTCTGCAGGGATTACAGCTTGGAAGCCTTGGGGCAGCTGTGCTCGGATTTGGCACAGAAGCTGTGAAGGGGAAAGTGCAAAGATCACATAGCACCCAGACTTTAGGAGCTGGCAGGTTGGCTGTGCCAGTTAGCGTAACGAGCACCTGCAGGCTCTTTAAAAGTTAGCCATTCTTATTTTGAAGGCAACGGTTAAGAGCATGGATTATGGAGTCAAACAGACCCAAGTTCAAGTTCCAGACTGGCCAATTATTGGCTTCTCTGGACTTCAGTTTTTACAAATAAAAACAGAATGTTTGCCTATGTGGATAAAGTGAATGAACTTTTGTAAAATTTTTGGCACAGAGGGTTAATGTACAGCTTTTAATTTACATATGATATATATTAACACATACATGTATGTGTGTGTACATATATACATACACAGAGAGAATTGCTCACATTATTTTTTTCTTCCTAGAATTTCCCAAGCCATGGTCCATCAAATCATAGACCCTCCTGCTCCAGACTTTTGAAAGTCCCCAATGCATAGGCAAGCATTTCTAGATGGCTAGACAGAGCCTGATTTCCTCTGGCTGATTACTTATTAAAAGGTACTTCCTCAGTTCACTTTTGAGTGGAAGTTTTTCAGAAAGCCATTCGCTCACTCGCTCACTTGCTCGCTCCCTCACTGGCTCAGTCTTGCATGGACAATCCTGTGGAATGCAAGAGCACAGGGCAAAACGGTTAGTCAAGGCTGCTTAGCCAGCTAGTACAGGTGGTCAGATTTTGACAAGATCTTAAATTGGGGAAGTTCAGACAAGCGGTTACTTTGGGTCCTTGGAATATTTATAATAGGGGGTGAAGAGAGGTTCACCGAAGGAATTGACAAGCTACTAATTAATGCCATCACTGCTGCCTGGCACCTCTATTAAGCAAAACTCAGAAACCGGGAGCCAATTTTCACATACGCTTTCTTTTCTAAATGGTAGCCCTTCTGAATTGCAACCTTCTTCACGCCTGGCACTCCCAGCCGCCATCGGCCCCTCTCCGACTGCACATCACACCAGGTCCAAGAGAAGCTAATTTAACCACCGCTGGTTAAAATCATACTGCACTTCACAGCGCCTTTCACATGCCATGAAGCTGTCATGATAATTCTTGATCTCTAGCTCACCTGACAGCTCAGCCCTCCCTTGACTGCAAAGCTTCCCCGTCAGTTAGAAATAGCAGTTTTCCTGGCACCAGATGTGTCATCTTGAATATCCAGATGAAAGGCAGACACCTGGCCCCTGCTCCCTCCCCTCCCTGCCTCGTTTTCCCTTCTTAGCTCTGGATTTTGTTTAGGAAGGCCATGTACCACCCCACCCCCAACTCCCAAGTCCCTCCTCTGGGCAGCCTGGAAGTTCCTCTTCTGCACAATTCAAAAGATGTCTTGCATTAGCCCACAGAGCAACTTCACACCTTGTGCAGCAAAGAGACACACACACACCAATTGACATCGCTAGGAGAGGGAAGGAAAACTTAACATCAGGGCAAGATTTCCACCCCTTTGCAGCTGCTTGGGAAGCCTGGCTAGCCCAAACCACCAGCCCAGCTGCCTCCAAAGGGTAGTGCTGGCTTCTCTCTCACCAGCTGTCTGATCCCATCTCTTCACTACGACTTTGTAGCTTGGTCTTTCGTTATGAGATCCTTGGGATGAAAAGAGATATTGTTTTGATAAAGGGCAGGCCTGGGTGAATAATGTGGTCTGTGTGTCATGGACAGGAAAGGAACAAATTGTGCCTGAGGTGGTCACCTGAGCCCCATGAGCTACTCATGGGGGCTTCTTAAACCCAGGCAGCACACGTGGACATCTTTACAAACACACCCGCTGTGTCCCTTTTTTGTAACTAATAAAGAACAAGTGTCAGCATTAAGCCTCTGTTACCGATTTTCTTTTCCTCTGCTGGAAAGGAGGTGGTGTAAGCAGAGTTTACTGTAGAAACCAAGAAACAAAAGACAACATGACCAGTTTTCGAACTTGGCGTGCTCTGAATTATTAAAAATAATCTTATAGTGTCCGCCCAGCCCTCTCAAGCATACCTGCCTTTAATCTTGTAAACAAGTTCATAGCAGGAAGGGGAATATTTTCAATCTGTTTCCTTCTACATGGCTGTAAGAAACATGACGCCCATCCATCATGCAAAGAGAGCCTGACGAGGCAGAGGAAAGATCATGGCAGGACTTCTGTCTTGGTGGACAGGTGAGGCAGATTTTGGACATGACTTGGTGCTTACATAAGTGGCTCTTTGTTTTGCTGCTGCAGAAATCAAAGGACAAGGTACCAGGGTGCCTTCAGTTAAAACAAGGGCTGGTCCTGCTCAGCCCTGGGACCCTGAGGAGAGGAAACGCGGTGAACTTAGCAGCCCCCAGTGGGACCTGCACTAATGTCCAATCCTCAGCAGTGAGAATTCTTCAAAGAGGAATCTCACAGTTCCCATCATCCAGGTTTGAAAGAAAAAGGGAGGCTTAACAGATGGAGAGAAGTAGACGTAAAGAAAAGGGATATTTGTCTTCTCTTTTCCTTTTTTCATGGCAGTCTTTTTATTGTGGTAAAATATACATAACACAAAATTTACCATTTTAACCACTTTTAAGCTATAATTCAGTAGCAGTAAGTATTAGGTTGGTGCAAAAGTAACTGCGGTTTTTGCCATTACTTCCGATTACTTTCACCACCACTATCCATCTCCAAATTCTTGTCATCATCCTAAATAGAAGGTCTATACACATTTAACACTAACTCCTCCATTCCTTCTCCCCCAGTCCCTAGTAACCACTATTATACTTTGTCTCTATGAATTCAACGATTCTAGGTACTTCATGTAAGTGGAATCAGATAGTAATAGTCCTTTTGTGTCTGGCTTATTTCACCCTGCATAATGTTGTCAAGGTTCTTCCATACTGTAGCATGTGTTAGAAATTCATTCCTTTTTACAGCTGAATGATATGCCATTGTGTGGGTATGCAGAATTCATTTTTTTTATCTAAGAAGGTTTCTGAATGCTCAGTAGGTGCCAGGCACTAAGCTTGACCACAGGGAGACCCGGATAATAAGTCCCAGTCCCTTTCTTTGTGAAGTGCACAGTTACTGGATTGAAAGCCCAGTGAGGATGGGCTCAGTAAGGTACCTCCCAGGGTATACACTCATTCAACAGACATCACCTGGATGCCTATAATGAGCCAGGCTCTAGCATGGCAGGTGCTGAGAAAATGAAATTGAATACAGTTTCCAGAACAAATCCATAGCCAGCCAGTTCATAGGTAGCAGTGCCCTGGACAGAAGTCTTTAAACTTTGGCCTTCTTTTTTAAATAACCTAATTTCAGAGGAGCTTGGGGAACATCAGAATGATGTGAAAATTAATCCAGCAGTTCCAAATGCAGACAGGCCCTGAGGCCAGGAGGTGACCTGGGGCATCTGTGACAGGACTGGTGTGAGCGGGAGGGAGGTCCTTCCGTTTCCTCCTATACATTCCATAATAAGGCCCTGCAGCTGAAACCAGGACCACAACACACAAAAACCCACATCCTACCAGAGACTGAGCCTGCAAGGGTGGCGTGTGTCACATGCCTGGCTGGCTCCAGAGCACAGGACGAACAGGACAGGGGAGGAGGTAGGAAGACTGCCAAGTACTCAGGAAACTCACAGAGAATACCTGTGCCTCCTCTTCCCCATCCTACCCTTTAGACATGTCACGGCAACCAGGCAGGTAGATTGTTTTTCTAACTTAGATTTCCCAACAAAATAAGAAAAAGAGGAAAGGTAGGTTCGGGAGTAGCTGGATTTTGTCTTGTTACATAGCGAACTCTCAAGAATTGATGTTAATAAACAAGTAGGAACTGATGAAATCTCTGCCCCCAAATACAGGAGAATTCACAATTTTATTACGTTTGATTTCATTTACAATGAGTGTGTGTGTTGTCACACATTTATGTTGCTAATACTGGTTTCTTTTGTATGCTATTTAATATTCTAGGGCATTATCAAGGGGATATACAGTTGGGGAGCATTTTACTAGCAAGAAAGCCTGCTACCTGCAAAATAGACCCAAAGGGGACAATTGATAAGTGGACAATAAAATACCATACAGCCATTAAACATAAGGTCAATTGGAAACTCAATGAGTCTGGCTCACTACTGTGTCCCCATCACCTGGCACAGAGAAGATGTGTATTTGTCAGCTGAATTAAGAATGAATGTTCATGAAGAGTTTGTAAGTTCATGAGAAAATTCCTTGATGGTCAGTGGAAAAGTAAAGTATTACCTTTCGTGTATCAGTATGAATTCAAACATGTAAAAAATGCTTTGAAGAAAAAGAAACAGACGGACATGCCTAATGGTTAGGTTATCTCTGGGGGTGAAGGGAGAGGGGAAAGATTATGGGTGATGTGAATTTTTTTCCCTTTCTATTTCTTTTTTTATTTAACTTTTTCTATAATGACTATATATCATTTGGAAGAAAAATTATTCAATGTAAAACTCTCCAGATGGCTAAATGCAAGTGGAGCATGGATGGAAGAATTTGGAGAATTCAACATCTACTTCGACTCTACTTTTTCTAAGGTGGTTTCTTCCCTAGCTACATCCCATTAATGCCCTAGAATATTAAGGGGGTAGGGAAATTAGTGGGTGTGGGGACTTTTGCTCAGGAAGCTGACATACGGCCTGCCTTCTTTCTCTTTACCACCCATTTCCATATGTGGCAATAAAAAAGCATCTTCAGCAAAGGAAGTCTTAAATTCATTCATGGAATGAATATAAGCCACATTATTGAGCACCTGCTTAGTGCCAGACATCACTCTGTTGCTGGTATATATCTCTCATCTGACTGAGAAATTTCAGTTTAAATGCACACAACATTATATATCTGTATACCACTTTGCTGCTTACAAATAATTCTCACATTTATCAGTTTACCAAGAGGTGAGCAAAGTATTAATTTTGGGAAAAACAGTCTACATAAATAGGATTTTGGGGGCCAGGCATGGTGGCTCATGATTGTAGTCCCAGCTACTTGAGAGGCTGAGGTGGGAGGATCCCTTGAGCCCAGGAGTTTGAAGATGCAGTGAGCTCTGATACACCACTGCACTCCAGCCTTGGCTGTCTCTAAAAATAAAAAATAAATAGAAGTTGTAGCGACTTGTCTAAGGTCATCTAAGCTAAGTTGGCATGAACCAGAACTTTGTAGTGCAATGATTAAGTTAAGAGGGTTAGAAGTTAGGTCTGGATTCAAATTCCAGCTGCTTTCTACTTAGCAATATGACCTTGGACAAGTTCATCTGTTTGATCTCAGTTTTCTCATCTATAAAACGGAGATAAAAATAGCAACCATACACGTATGTTGTGCAGATTAAATGTGATAATATATGTAATACATTTAGCAGACAGCCTGCCTATATAGATTAAAAATTAAATGGTGACTCTTATCATCATCATTATGAATGTTAATATCATTATAGATATTAATATCACCAACCCTTTGGTTTTTGTTCCCTAACTTATCTTCTCCATACTTCATATGACCTCCAAGTTTACCTTTTCTCTACTTTTCAGATGTAGGATGTGGATACCAAAGAATTGAGTAGATCTGTCACAAAGCAATGGAAGATGACATTTGATATGGGTGGGCCAACTGCGAATAAAAAGAAGACGTTCACTTGGGAGATAGAAAAGAGAAGTTCTAGTCATGACTTTTCCAATTTACTTGCTATATAACCTTGAATAAGTACCCTCTCTGAATTCCTGTCTCCTTACCTGTGGAATGAAGACAAAAATTCCTAAGGCTCTAGCAAGATTGTCAAACAAAGGCCTATATGTGTGAGTTGCAAATAAAAGGAAAGCACCTTCTGATAAGTGTCTTCTAATTCCCATGTCATTTCTTGTCCCTGTGGCCTGTTTGTGCTGTTTGAAAGCTCGGGGGAATTGGAATAAGTGACAAGGAGGTCAGATGTAAGTTAAAGTGTTAGCCCCCATTTATCTACCATTTTGGCTCTAAACGACTAGTTTCAGTCCAGACCGATTTAGTAAAGTGAGAAAACTGTGACTGCAAACTGGCAGTACACACAATCAGAGGAATGAGTAAAAAGCTTAGACTGCCCTTCAATTCAGAGGTTAAAGCAAGCACACAGACCCGGTGTCTCCCTCACTGTGTGCCAGCCAACCATATATTATTAATTGGGCTCAACAAACATTATTGAGCACCTTCTACTGCAAAACTCTGGCAGGGCGCTCTGGGGAGATCTAAATGCAATGTGAGGCAATGCCCCACTCTTCACCAACCTGCCATCTGGTTGGGATAACAAGATCATCACAGGCAAAACTGTTCTCCCATATCTCTGCCCATTAAAATTTCACTGAGCCCTCAAGGCTCAATTCATAATTAGATTTTCCCCAAGAAGCTTTCCCCAATCCCCTCAGCCCTTTGTTTAATCCTCATTTCTGGAATTTGTCATGCTCTGCATTATAACTTGCTTGTGTGTGTCTTTTTTTCTCAAAATTATTTCCTATCTCATTCCGACAAGCATTTGAATCCACGTTGTGTTATGGGTATGTCTATCTTCTCCCAGTGGGTTGCAAACCATGTCCTATTTATCTTGGTGTCCCCCAAGATCTAGCACAGTGCCTGACACAAAATAGAGGTCAAGAAAATATTCATAACAATGAAAAAGTCAAGACAGCTTAAAATAAGTGCCCAAGGGAATGAGCCAGATACTACGTGTAACTGGAGGAGGTTAGGAAAGGGCAAGGCAAATTAAGATTGGGCTTTTAAAAAGCAAAGGTCATTTAAAAATACTGGATTAGACATATCACAGGCCTGTGCTGCCCAATATGATAGCCGTATTTACTGAGCACCCGAGATGTAGCTAGTCTGAAAACGGAGATGTGCTGTGAGTGCGAAACACACATCATATTTTGGATGCTTCATATTAAAAAAAAGAATGTGAAAATACTTTAATAGCTTTTATATTGAATACATGTTTAAATGATTGCTTTCTGATAACTGGGTCAAATAGAATATATCATTAAACCAAATTTTATTTTATGTTTTTACTTTTTAATGTGGCTACCAGAAAATGTAAAATTACCTATGTAGTTCACGTTATATTCATATCGGAAAATGCTGTCACAGGCCATATATAATGCTTATACTATGATTCAGTAATCCCTGTCTAGAAATTACATCCTAATGAAATAATCCAAAAGTAAGTAAAAATGCTATGCACAGAGTTGTTCACACAGTGTAATTCGTAACAACAAAATATTGGGAACAATTATTTCTAAATTCTGCAGAAAAAAGAATGGTTAAAAAATTTGCCATGATTGGAATATCCAGTAAAATACATATTATGCAAATGTTAATTCTGAAGACTAGGTGGCAACACAGAAAATCCTTAAGACATCATGTTGCTTGAGAAAAACCAGCCCACAGCATACACTGCACACCATGTCTATGTTCAATCTGCATCTGGGCATGCTCTTCCATTCACCCATCATACATGTGCAGAACTATGACTTCCCACCAGGTTCTGTATTCAGGAAAAATCAGAATTAGAGATGAAAGAGGATGAGGAGGCAGCCAGGTAAACAGACAATTGTGTATAAAATATATGCAATATATATATGCAAGGTGAGATGAACACACCTAAGTTTTCCGAAGCTAAGAAATGGCTGCGAAAAATGTGAAGAAAAACAGGAAAGCTATTCTTTTTGTCATGGATGATGTGGGGCTTTTTTTGCAGCGGGTTGGGGGGGATTCCTAAGCTTTCCTGGATTATTACGATAAAAAGGCAGACTAGAGACCAGCCTCTGTCTCTACATTGAGCCTCTGGCACACAGCGTGTGTGTATTCTCTGTTGGTTCACTGTTGGCTCCACTTAACACTAGGTAGCACTTAACAGTGCAGCTCTGAAGTCAGACCTGTGTCTGAACCAGCTTTAACACCTCCAAAGGTGTGAACTTGAGTAAGCTGCTGCACCTCTCTGAATCTGTTTCCCAATCTGTAAGATGGAGATAATTATATTATCTATGGCAATGACACATTGTTGGGAACATTAAATGAAATAATCCACATAAAGCTCCTAGCAGAGTGCATGGCACATAATAACCCCTAAATAAATGTTGGTTTTATTGTTATTGTAAAGATTAGGAAACAGCATGATACAAAATTGATCAGAATGATAAAGCAGATGGTGGAAACTGCCTGTTTCCTACACTACATTCTAGTTGTATTGGGTCATTACTTTCACTTTCTAGAATCTTCTATAGCCATTGAATTTACTCAACCACGTTTTCTTCTGTGTTGTTTTCTGTTTTGTTTTGTTTTTTTGTTAATGCCTTAAAGGATGATGAAATTATAAATGTTCTATATAATGTGATATTGAAATGACCTGATAATTATTTAGGTCCTCTGTCGCTTACTCAGTGGCATAACTCATAAAAGACAGACTGCATTTTCATTTCAAATTCCACTTTTTTTCAGCCGGGCACGGTGGCTCACGCCTGTAATTCCAGCACTTTGGGAGGCCAAGGTGGGTGGATCACCTGAGGTCAGGAGTTTAAGACCAGTCCGGCCAGTATGGCAAAACCCCATTTCTACTAAAAATACAAAAACTGTGTGGTGGCAGGCACTTGTAATCCTGGCTACTTGGGAGGCTGAAGCATGAGAATTGCTTGAACCCAGGAGGCAGAGGTTTCAAGGAGCCGAGATCGCGCCACTGCCCTCCAGCATGGGGGATAGAGCAGGATTCTGTCTCAAAAAAAAAAAAAAAATCCAATTTATCAATCTCCAGGTAACCTCTCATAGTCAAAACTAAAACCAGGTCAATTGCTTTGTTGTGTCTTAAAGAGATGCTGATGAATTCAAGGAATCTTGAAAACAGAAACATTTCATTTTTCCGATACTCAGTCTTGCTCTTTTCTCTTATTACTAAGCAACTTTGCATGAAAACAGACTCTGTTTTATAAATAGAACATTGTGCAAGGTTTTCTAGAGGTGTCTGCTAAAAATAAAGCAGGTTATAGTTTACTTCTTTATAGCTTTCAAAACAAAACAGCCTAAGCTTGACTAAATTTGCTATATTTCATTTTTGAAAGGTATCTTTATGTGAGCCAGGTCTGATTTCTTGAAATGAAATTCCCCAGAAGTTAGATTTCCTATATTTACACAAGGCATGCCTGTGCAAAGTAATGACACTAGTTTTTTTTTAAAAACATACGCCCTAGAATGAATACAACTTAGTGATGCTATACTTCCACCCTATAAAATACACAATTCTTTTTTGAAAATTGCTTATTTGAAGAGTAAAATAAACATTTTGATGTATATATTTCTAGGTTATCTGCTCACAAATCAACAGCATTACTTTGAAGCTAAAGTACAGGTCCCCAACTTGTGAATTACATTCTAAACTATTTCTAGGTTGCCTGGTTGGAGCTAAAGTGTCATGGTATGGAAACAATGCTAGGTTCCCAGGCAAGTCCCCAGGAGCCAAGCTAACTGATATGATAACATACAATGTTAGAACAATGTGAACGTGGAAAAAAGCCTCTAATCTTCAGCTTTTGATACTAGGCACATGTTTCTCCTTGCACTGTTCTGATGGGGGTCCCCAATCTCCAGTTCGGTGATGGCTCTAGAAGCTGGGTACAGGGACTATGAGTTGGAGAGAGGTGAACCAAGGTTTCCTGGTGTAACTTTTAAGGGTAGTGTTTCTCATACTATGACCAATAAATCTGATTTGCTGAGATTGTTACAGATCAGAAAGGGTTCTATGGTTAAATAAGTTTGAGAAATGTTCCTGCATTTTCCCTCCAATTTTAAGGTATAAAGTGAACATTACCATAGTAAAGATTCTGAGATACCCTGCAGAAAAGAAGCCTGTTTGATGTAATGGATCCTGTTCTAAACATATTGGACCCCCTATAAATTCTGTTTCACTTTTTTAAAATAATGGCTATTCATAAGAGCTAACATTTACATAAAGCTTGCCATGTAGCATGTACTATATGAAACATTACACACAGCATCTCTTTGAGGTGAATGCTGTGATTAACCTTATTTTACAGATGAGGAAACTGAGGCAAAAAGAGGCTAAAGATTTCCAAAGTCACAGGGAGATGTGCTTAACTACCATGCCAGAATAAACCCTGGAAGCCGATCTCCTTGAATGTCACTTTAGGAAACATTATCCAAAGGGCAGGTCCACCCCGTCACTGCTTTCTTTTCTCACATTGGTCCCTCGCTATCATGTCTCAAGCCCATGATTATTCTGAAGCTGTAGTGGGAAATTTTCAAAGGGATAAAAGTTTCTCTCTTTTGCAACAGAGATAGATAGAAAATTCGTTCACATTTCAGAGGAAATCTAGGCTTACTCTATCCTAGTATATTGGTTTCCTATGGCTGCTGTAACAAAACAACCCACATTTATTATCTTATAGTTCTGAAAGTCAGGAGTCCAAAATTAGTCTCACTGTACTAAAACCAAGGTATTGGCAGGGCTGGTTTCTTTTGGAAGCTCTGAGGGAGAATCTAATTCCTTGCCTTTTACAGCTTCTAGAGGCTTCCCACATTCCTTGGCTCCTGGCCCTAAATTACTCTGACTTCTGCTTCTGTGGCCACAACTCTCACTCTGACCCTCCAGCCTCCCGGTTGTGGGGACCCATGTGATTACACTGAGCCCTCTCCACTAATCCAAGATAATCTTCCCATCTCATGACCCTTAATTTAATCACACCTGCAAAATCCTCTCTTCCATGTAAGGTAACATTCACATATTTCTGGGATTAGGATGTGGACATCTTTAGGGCAGGGTCATTATGCTGCCTACCACATTGGCATGTCACTACTGATGAGCTGAAGAGGAGGTGGGCAGGGATCCAGAATTCGCAGGGGAAGGGGGAAGAGACAAGGTCATGGGGCATATCCCTTCCTCACTTGCCCCTCTTACCATCACCAGCTCATCCACAATAGCCCCTGAACAGCAGAGGTGAGATAAAAAGAGGAGTGCAGGGCTGTAATTCTCAAACCATGGTGTGTTTACCCCCAGGAAGTAACAACTGGATCCACAGATCATCCTGGTTTATCATCCTGGAGCAATAATTTTCATTTAAGATATTGAGAATTTTCTAATTTAAATCACAATTTTCATATTAATACAAGCTTGTGCATTTCCAGTTCTGCATAAAAACATTTAAAAGCTCTTCCTAGTTGCCAGAGTACACGGAGATAACACAGTCTAACTCCAATAATAATAGTGATATTTAAATAAATTGATACCTATGAAATGCTTAGATCAACCTGGCACATAAGAAGCTCTCAGTAAGTGATACCTTTCCGTTTTGTTGCTATTCACCATCACTGAAACAATTGTACAGTTATCTGCTGGGTACTTTCAATGCATTAGCTTCACAAGAACTCTGGAAGATATAAAGTGCTAATTTTTTTTTTTCAGTTTTACAGACGATCGAATGAGGAAAGGTCCACAGTGTTTAATCACTCGATTAGGGTCATGCATCTGACTGGTAAAGTTGAGATCCAAACTCAGATTTGGTTGCCTTCAGAATCCCCAGTTTCAATATTTCTTCTTCTCCTTCAAATTTGCTACCCAAGTTTCTCTGGGGCCAGGACAATGTGTCAGAATCATGAGTTAAACCAGAATTAGCATAGTTTGCGAGTGCATTCCTAACAGGCCCTTGTTTGTATGCTTTCTGAGTTATTAGTTCTGCAAAGAACACATTTCTTACTTCCTTATTTTGCCAGTGTTTTAGAAGGCGAGGGACCAGAATTCTGTTCTCTGGAAAGTGGGTTATAACTGCATGGTATCCCATTCTCCCCAGTCCCCTCTACTCTTTATCTGGTGACACACCATCTCTTATGTGAAATGTCTGCTAGCCAGTCAAATATCTTCTTCTTAAAGCCTTTTAACAAGCACACTATCAAAAGTGGTGCTGTCTGCCTTTTTCAATAAACGGAAATTTCCAAAAGTCAGGTTTTTACTGGCTTTCCCTGAAACAGAAAACTCTGAACCAGTGGCAGTGACACTCGATCACAGTGGCTATACATTTGGAAGCATATCTAATACACACACAAAATCTATGCTCCTTCTGAGGACTCTGGCTAAGCATACTGCAGTGAGAAGGAGAGAAAACTGTGTTTCAAAATCTCACAAAGTTGAAGAGCAGGAAGTTTTGTGAGTCCAAGAGCAGTGACAGACACTGGACCAACAAAGCCTGACCACCCATCATTCACATCCCTTCCCTAGACTGGAATCTCTCCCAGTTTTGTGAGCTGGCAGGAACTGTGGACTGGAATTTCCAGCTCTGCCTCTACCAACCACTGTCAACTCTGCCCCCAAACCCCAACCTCATGTCAATCTGTGTGCAATGAAATCAGTAAGTGGCAGAGCTGGGATTTGGTCTCAGGTCAGCCTGTCTATAAACCTCATGTTTTTTTCCCCCTAACAAGCTACAGGGCAAAGGAGATGAGGAAAACATGCTCAGCATAGCATAGGAGAGATGCTAAGATCAGGAACCAAGAGACCTGGGTTTGCAACCTCAGTAGTGTCACCTGAAGTAAGCTTCTAAACTCCTTTATGCGGTGTTCCTTCCTCTGGCTATTAGTGTTAAAGTTTAGCATCTTTTTTTTTTTTTTTTTTTTTTTTACTAACTGAGAATGTAATCTGCCAACCTGAGATAAGAGAGCTTAGTATTTTAGTATTTGAATTACTTAATTTTCTTTAGAGTCTGTAAACTCTCTAAACTGTAAACCGCCAGAGGGGAGGCATTTTTGCTTTTGCTGTATCTCCAATAGTCCCTGCCACTTATTGAGTACTTGATAAATATTTATGGAATGTAAGAACCAAGTCTGGAAAAGTAGCATCCTGTAATGCAATGTTTCTCAAACTTTAGACATCAGTCACTTGAAGCCACTCCAAGGTTCTGTGGCTATAGGATGGAGCCAAAGAACTTGCACTTCTAACAAGGTCTCAAGAGATGCAGATGCTGCAGTCTTGGGACCAGAGTTTAAGAAGCACTGTTGCCGGGGTTAAGAGCCAGAGTCTAAGGCAACCCTCCTGAATTCAAATCCTCGTTGTTAGCTTCATTTACCTCTCCAGGCATCAGCTTCCTCATCTGTAAAAATGCAGATAACAAAAGCACCTACCGCACAAGGTCCATGATGAAAAAGACTTTGAACAGCCTGGAATTTAATAAACATTTTGTTTGCTATTATTATTACTGTGGGAGTTTTCTCTCCTGCTTTGATGTTTTAGCCTGTGCTGTATTTATATTTGTTCTTCAAACAACAAAATGAGTATGTATAATTCAAAAATCCTGGACACTGCTGGGACTCACATTTTTCCCATTAAGTCCTAGATGGATTTAGGTCTAGCTGAGTAATGGAGGAGATTTCATATTCAATAAAGCAATATACTTTTAGACTTTGAAAGTGAGCACCTATATTTTCCAAATCAGGCAACTTCTAGGTTCTAGAGATAAATAAAGACATCATCTCCTGCCTAAAGAGTGTGACATGATGGCATTCTCTGGTTGGTGAATGCCGTGATGGCTGTCACCTCCCTGAAACTGCCTGGGCTGGCTGTGGGAGGGGCAGAGAGCTTCCTCTATTTAAGCGAAGGAAATTAGCAGTGAAACAAATTAAAACAACAATCAGATTTAAGTGGCCTCTATCAGGAAATTAACTTTAATGAATATTGTCATCACCAGGCCTACCTCAGCATCGCTGGGCTCAAGCATTAGGATGCAATAAAAAACTGGGACCTAAACACTAAGTTACCTACCCACAACTCAGAATGAATTTTCTTTTAACTCCCTTGTGTTTGTTTTAATACATCCCATTCCCTGTTCATTTAGGTTTTTCTATGATTCTATTAAACAGCTTACACATCTTTGCAAATACGTAAAAGTATGTTAACTGAACTAGAAGCTGAAAAAGGGACTGGGAGACAGATTTCCTTGTGTTGTCATTGACTCTTAAGTGAGACCTGAAAGCTTCTATTTTCCCCATCAAATTTCAACCCTAGAATGGCAAAGAAGACTTGGAAGGGGCTACTCTCTGTTTCTAAGTAAGTCCTTTCCTGTTAGGAGAATAAAAACCTGGCTTGTCACCTAGGCATGACTCTGAGCTGGGGCTCTTCTGGATCCACACTTATCTGAATACTAGCCTAAATCTAGTCGCCAGCCTTCCTCTACCCAGTTGACTTTTGCACAACCTTCCCTCTTCATTTAAAACACCTCTAGACTCTGTGCTTTGAAATTTAGTCCTATGGTTCAGCTATCATCTTGAATTATTAACCCTGGAAAATCAAGAGCAGTAAAAGGGAGGCAGATAGAAGAAATCTGACCTCACCAAAGAATCCCGACTTGTTAACAAAATGTGCCTCCAGAGCCAAGGAGCAGGAATCTCGGGGGAAGCAAAGCTGATGGGGCCTGAACAACCTAACCCAGTCCAACTGATAGCAGCCCAGGATGAGTAACAGCATAGACTCTGGAGCCAGACAATTGGGTTTGAGTCCTAATTCCACCACTTAATAGTTGGGTGAACTCTGGCATATCTTCCTGGGCCTCAGTTTCCTAATCTGCATAATGGGTATAATAGTAGTTCTTCCACTTCAAGGGATTATAATAAAGCTCAGTTAAAATACGCAAAGCACTTAGAATGGTGCCTGACACACCATAAGCGCTAGGTGTTTATTAAATGAACAAAGTATATTGAGCCCTACTATGTGTCAGAGATGACCAAGAAATGACTCTTTTTCTCAAGGAGTTCATGATCCAGTAAAGGAGAGAGACTTGAGAAGAAGTGTGGTGAGTGAGCATGGAGTGATATACTCATTTATAAGAGCTTCCATTTATTATTTCATTTATCCTATTAGGTACTTTCACATTTGTCCTCTAGTTAATCCCTGCCACAGTCCTGCAATTGACTTATTGCAGTCTCAAATTACCTATGAAGAATAGGAATAAGAAGGTTTAAGTTAAATTACTGACCTAACGGTCAAACCAAAGTGGCTGAGCTAGGTTTTGGATGCAAAGTTGTCCAACTTCAACATTTACACTCTTTCCCTTGACAAGATAATGGGGTGAGACACTTGGGAATCTATGTGCCATGTGCTGATGCATCATGGTAAAAAATAGGCGGGGCCAGGGGGCAGAAGACCTGCTATTATTTTTTAAACCCATACATAACTGCATAACCTTAGACAAATTGCCAAACTCTTCTGAGCTTCAGCTTCTTTAGGTGAAAGACATTACTATTCTCGATCCTATCTGTACTACCTGCCAGAATTATTTTGAGATCAATGAAGATAATAAGGGCAGCCCTAAAAAGCAATTAAAGTGCTAGAGAAGAGTAGGATGCCCTAACTCTAAATCTCAGAGCACAGCAGACTTAAGTGAATCATCTGCCACCCTATCTCTTCTTTGGCTGTTATCATGAAATCATATCTTAACTAGACTATAAGCTCCTAGCAGGCAGAGATACCATCTTCCCCTTAGCATTTGGCTCAGTGTCAGACTCAGAGAAGGAACATGCTAAATAGTTGTTAAAGTACAAGACTCCAGCCAAGGAGAAATATCTAAATAGAAGAAGACAAAATGCTTACAAGAAACTCATAGAAAGATGTGGAATTTGGTGGAAGAAGACAGGTAGGACTAAAACAAATGAATTGGGAAAGGAATGGAGTCTAGTTACGAAGTTTCCTGGGTTCTGATAAATTCAAGATTAGGCCCTTGTACTTCCAAATTCAGAAAAGAACAAAACCTTCAAACCTCTAAAAGTTTGCCAGTCACTAATTATATGGCAATTATTCTATTTTAGGCATTTGCTAATGAGATCTGGGAAGTGTCTTAATTACCCAAAATTATGAAAATAATTTCAAACTTGACTCTAGGGCTAGTTTTACTCCACTTAGGAAGTAAAACCTAAGTGGATGTACACAGGGTTATTTTTTATTAAGAAATAGTCTACATTTGCTGGAACTGTAGACTCAGATGTTTCCTATTACACACTCAAGTCTACAGCATCCTGGCACCTTAATGTCTGAAGGTTCGGGCACATTTGCAGTGTCACTATTATGTTCAATAGGCTGCTAGTGGATTTTGGTAATTTTCAGAAAAAGGCAATTTCTTTGAATTACGGTGCCCTAGAAACCCCAGTCATTGCTGAGTGAGGAGAAGGTAAAGCATAGTACAGAAGTGGCAGTGGAGACAAAAGGGCATAGTAAGCATACTATATAATACATGCTTCTTCTCATGAATTGCCTCCTATAGCCCAAGTAAACGAGAACTTCCTCAGATAATACTACATCCTATCTACATTTATTTACCTTTGTAATTTGTAACCTGTTTTTTGATGTCATAAGAGAAGGGAGTTCAGTATGGTAGCTAAGAGCACAATTCTTAGACCTACTTATTAACTATATTGCCTTAAGCAAGTTACTTAACATCTCTGTGTCTCAGTTTTCTCTGGTATAAATCTAGGTGTTCTGTTAATCCTACAGGCAGAATTAGCAGTAATATAGGTAAAGACCTTGACATACGTTAGATCAGGAATTAGCAAGCTATGGCCCGTGGGCCAAATCTCTCTTGTTGTTTTTATAAATAAACTTTTACTGGGGCTGGGTATGGTGGCTCACACCTATAATTCCAGCACTTTGGGAGGCTGAGGCGGGGGGATTACCTGAGGTCAGGAGTTCAAGACCAGCCTGGCCAACATGGTGAAACCCCGTCTCTACTAAAAATACAAAAACTAGCCGGGCGTGGTGGCAGATGCCTGTAATCCCAGCTACTCAGGAGGCTCGGGCAGGAGAATTGCTTGAATCCGGGAGGCGGAGGTTGCAGTGAGCCGAGGTCGCGCCACTGCACTCCAGCCTGGGTGACAGCGTGAGACTCCGTCTCCAAAAAAAAAAAAAAAGTTTTACTGGGACACAGCTATACCTATTCATTTGCATATCATCTACAACTGCTTCCACACCGCAATGGCAGAGGTGAGTAGCCATGACAGAGACCATATGGGCCGTAAAGTCTAAGATATTTATTACACCTTCTAGTCCTTTACAGAAAACATTTGCTGACCCCTGTTCTGGACTCTGGAGCACTGAATGAATGATGGTTATTAGGGCAGCTGTAGGGCAGGTAATAGCCATTTTACAGAGAAAAGAGAAGCTCAATGAGGTTAACCTCTTTACTCAAGGCAGCAAAACTGGTAGTGCCAGGCCAAGAATAGGTTCTGACCATCTGACTCCAAGCCCAGTGTTTTTTCCACTGCAGTCTACTGCTGACACGTTCATTTCACTCAATAAACAATCGGAGCTGCCACTAAATCTGGCTGAGGCCTCTCCTTTGACTTCTGCATGAGGCATGACTGCTTCTAAGTCCTATCAGCTCAGAGTTACCACAATGATGCATGCAGAGGACGCTAAGAAATACCATTACTACCATGTTTCCCAAAGTGTGTTCTGTGGAATCGTAATATGTCTGGGCTTAAAAACGGGTGCTTTGCTCAAACATATATGTGAAATGCTGAGTTAAAGAGGTGTCTTTACTGCAGGACTTCTCAGAGCCTTTAGTACATTGACAAACTCGTGAATCTCCAAGAGGACAGAGTGAGCAGCAAATCTCAAACCAATCCATTCTCTGGGTTACCGAGCAGAACTAGTGGTCTTCAGAACACTCTTTTGGAAATACTGCTTTTTGGTCTCAGAAATCACATTTTTCCACATCTAGGAAGGGACTATAACTCCCCCTACACAGACGGCATATTTTTTAATTAATTAAAAGAAATTAAAACCAAGGAAATGCCCTTTTAATTACAGCTGAAGCATATACTGACCAAATAGTTCCCAGGAGTTATTGCTGGAAACACATGCTTTCCAATGCTGCTGAGAAAAGGTTTAAGTAGCAGTTTATTCTCCTCCTAATCTTCCCAGACTGTCATAATTCTGGGTTGACCATGACACAATCAAGATCATCTGTTCTATGTGGAAAATCAGAAATGGAACAAGTGAGAGGTCATATTTTTAAACAACGTCTGCCACAATCCCCTTCCATGAAACCAATCACTTAGAAACATCTGTAATGTATGAAATACTAACAATTGACAATAATCTTGTGGTAGTGACTTAATTATGGATCCAAAAGATGCCCCCCTATTCCAGGAGCCTGGCAAAAGATCTGTGATTCTGTGGTTTAGGCTCATATTTCTCTCCCACTTTGTCCTTTAATTCAATCCCAACTCTGAAAGTAGGAAACATTTCTAAAGCTTCGGCCTCAGCTTTTCCAGCATGACAGCCTTCATTCTCTTGCCCCTTTTTTTTTGCATAGGTTTCCCCATTCCTGATTCCCAGTGGGAACAAGTGCTGAGGCCTCATCACAGTTGTCACAGCCCATTCCCCAGGCTAGGTTAGGCTGCTTCTTATTCCTGATTTATCCCTCTGAAACTCTTATTCACAACCCATGAAACTGCTCCTTCACAGGAGTGTAAGTTCCATGCGGCAGAACCCTGTCTTGTTTACCACTGTATCCTTACAGCCTAACTCAGTGCCTGGCATGCAGAAGATGTAAAATAAAAAGTTCAGTTTGTTGATCTCTGGCTCATAGTAAAACTGGCTCAGAGATGGCCAGAAGGAGCATTTTGTATCTTTTCAAGACACATCGTTTAAGATAAAATGCAAAAACTGTTGGAAAGAAGGTGGGAAGAATGTGAAGAAGAACAGAGAAGAACTCCCAAAGATGGCAGTTTAAGAAGAAAATTCTGAAACTCCGGAAGGAGAAAAAGATAGAAGAGTGGTCTCCAGACTGAAATACTCAGGGAGTCTTTTAGAGAACAGAGAAATAGAGCCCAACTAATTAGATCTACATGTGAGTATTTAGTCAAATAAAATCTGTGAATGTTTGGAGACATGTCTCTAATAGGAAAGAGTCTACAAAAAGCAATAGGGGAAGCTTTGCTGATTGCCCACTATGTGTGAAAAAGTATGTCAGGACAGCAGGGAAAACGGGAGAGACAAGACTCCTTTCCAGATCCAACCATATCAAGGTCTGATCAGGGAACCAAATGTGAAAATATTTTAAAATAAAGTGATGTGTTGTCATTCACTTATTATTTCACTCATTCAGCCACATAACAAATATTACTGAGCATTCACTGTGTATAGCTATCGAACAGTGGCTACAGTGACACAGAGGCTAGAGTGACCAACTCCACCTGGGAGAGTCCCAGAAAATATCACATTATAGGTAACATTTCAACTAGGTATCAGTTGGGGCTCTTTTCAAAAAAAAGTTATCACCATTAAGCCAGGCACGGTGACTCACACCTATAATCCCAATACTTTGGGAGGCTGAAGGAGGAGGATAGCTTGAGCTCGGGAGTTGGAGGCCAAGCTGGGGAACATAAACAGATCCCAATTCTACAAAAATTGTTTTAAAAAATTAACTGGGTATGGTGGCTTGAGCCTGTAGCTCCAGCTACTCCTGCTTGGGCCAGGAGTTTGAGGCAGTAGCGAGCTATGATCACACCACTGCACGCCAGCCTGGTCGACAGCAAAATCCTGTCTCAAGGAAAAAAAAATATTGTCATTAAGCTTTCATCCTTATCTTTTTTTAATCAAGTCACATAAGAAATTCTTCAGACACAATATAAATTTATACTTTCTCTGCTCATAGACACACAGACTCCTGAAACCAATCCTCCACACCTGCTTCTCCATCCACTCTGCTGGGAACCTAGTGGGAAATGCTACTTTAAAAAAATAATAAATAAATAAAGCATTTATGATGGGAAGATCGTAAACATAATAGCAGTTAACACTAACTGAGGCTTACTGCTTGCTCCACGTCAGGCATTGGACAGAATTCTTTAAGTGTCAGAGCTTATTATTATTACTGAAGTATCAGTATCTTCTGTTTTCAGTGGAGGCACCTGGGGTTTAGTAAAGTTAGATAACTTATCCAAGGTCACCCAGCACAGATGGGAGTCAAGCTCTGGTCTGTCTGACTTCAGGGTCAGGCTTTTGTCTCATTGTCTTCCTTATATATCACTTTCTCATTGTAGGAGGGGAGGGAGAGAAAGAGAGAAGACGGGGCAGGGATTGCAGGTGGGAGGGTGGGGAGTGAAAGCAGACAAGTGATAGACTAAATAATCCAAAAGATGTCATGGTAATTGGAAAGTATCCAGATTGCAGTAGTAAGGACCTGGGTTCAAATCATGGCTCTGTAGAATGAACTCAGGGAATGAGAAACACTTTGTAGGCAGGTGGAGATAATAAATACTCATCTCCCCCACCATCTTCTATCCTAAGAGGATGACCAGTAACTAGCGTGATGGATTTTTGTGTTTACTTGAAGATAGTATGAATTACTGACAGTTCTCACCATACGAATGACTGCATAACGAAACAACAAACTCATCTTAAGCAGAGATGAACCCACCTTATGCTTCTCCATAGTAATCCGAGGCTTGGAACAGTACATTGCCCTCAATCCACATTTGATGAATGGATGAATGCAAATTGTTAAGGGATACAAGACCTTCTGGAAAAAGCACTAGTTTCAAAGCAAAATAAATGTCTTTTTTGTGTTATTGCTATCTCACAAGAGTTAAAGCCAAAAAATTATTTTAAAAGAAAATTGACTAAAGCTTATTATAGTAAGTTCAAAAACAAGTCGATAAGCAAATGGCTATTCACTGGAAAAGCAAAAAAGAAGCCAAATGGATAGCATCCTTGTGTTAAGTGAAAAGTTTGCTCTTAAGGCACAGAAAGGTAGAATAAATGATACTGAGAGAGAGAACTGACCCGGCATGATCTGCATTCCACCTGCGTTATAACGTAATGAAAATGAAGCCATGTGCTCGGGGCAGGGTTGTCACTTTCAATTGCTCCAAATTGTTTTGCTTGTCTCACAAAATGCTTCAAACACATCAAAAGCACTTACCTTCCTGAAGAAGGAGTCCATAACAGGACTGGAAATTAACAGTGGTTTCTAAATTACTCTCAAACACACAGAACATCATTCTATTTTTTTTTTTTTTTTTTAGAAAAAACACATTTTTCCAAGATGACCTAATTCCATGATGGCTAAATCCATTTAAAACAAACATTCCAAATAAACTCACCTCAGGGCTGAAACAAGAAATAAAATGTACATTTACTGTGATTTCAAATAATGTTACAAGTTAAGACTTAAAAAGAGGAAATAAATTAACTCATTAAAAATATTTATTATAATCTTGCTCCTTTCTACGTTATTTTTTGGTTCTTTATCTGCACATTTTGGGCTGTGTTGGTTTCTGAGAATCTTCCCCACTTGTTTAATTTCTTCTAGCTAAAAAATATTTGCAGTAAAACATTAAACAATTTTAGATGTACTGATGGTAGCATTATTATCTTAAATCCCCATCACCATGTTTAATATGGAACCAGCCCCTGCACTACCTTAATTAAATAAATTTCAGCATATTCTCCGATTTATTTCTCAGGGATTTCTGGGAGTCAATGATCATCCACATTGGGATAAAAGAACAGGACATATGGCAATTTCTTAACAGCAAATACATTAATTTCTTTTCCTCTTTGGGAATTGTGAAATTAAGTTTGGGAGAGATGAACAGTTCCTTTAAAGCTTCCATCTTCTCTTTCACTCCTTTCCCCTGACAACACCTAGTCTAGGTATGCAGTCATTGCCTGAATGACCTGTGACAAAGAAAAAAAAATAAAGAGAGCAAAATCCAGGCTGGCTTCAGGACAATGTCCACTAGGAGACTCCCCGGGCTGAGGAAGGGCTCTGGGTATGTAAGACTGGCAGAGCTGGAATGTTGTTCAACCCTCTCTTATAAATGGAAAACAAGGCTCAAAGGGCTAACATGATTTGTTGAAGACCTTCGACTAATACAAAGGAACTAAATTCCATGCCTGCTGACTCCCAGACCAAACATCTTTCCATTCTATTGTTAGACTGGTATTCAAGGGATTTGCATTCCAGTCTAGTTGTCACTAATTAGTGTAACCTTTTTTCTTAATTATGGTAAAATATGCATAACAAATAATTTATCATTTTAACCATTTTTAGTGTAGTTCAGTGGCATTAAGTATACTCACATTATTGTGCAACTATCACTACCAACCATCTTCAAAATTTGTTCATCTTCCCAAACCGAAACTACGCATTAAATGATAACCCCCTTCACCCCTAGCCCCTGGCAACTGCCATTCTACTTTCCATCTTTATGAATTTGACCACTCTAAGTACCTCATACAAGTGGAATAATACAATATACGTTCTTTTGTGTCTGGCTTACCTCACTTAGCATAATGTCTTCAAGGCTCATCCATGTAGTAGTATGTGTTAGGATTTCCTTCTGTTTTAAGGCTGATTAATATTCCATTTTAGGTATCTATGTTTTGTTTATTCATTCACCTGTCAGTGGACACTTGAGGTGCTTCCACCTTTTGGCTATTGGGAATAATGCTGCTATGAACCTGGCTATACAAATATCCGTTCAAGTTCATGCAGTCTTTAAGCAACTACTCTCTTCCCTAGTGTCACTATTACCATCTCTAAAGTGGTGACAGTGGCATGTGTACATGTGTACGTTCTTGAGGGTCCTGTTTCTAATACCATCATTTCTCCATGGACCACCCAGTATTTCACTCACTTGGTTGCAGATAGCTGCAAACTCAGCCCAAATTTAGACCAATATAAAATGAATAGCTTTGCAGGCAAAGTCAAAGGCTATGAGTTCCTTCCAGGCCCTGGGAATTCTGTGTGCGGTTAGAGGAGACTGGCAAGTCCCCTCTCCTACTCTCTTTCTAGGGTTTCACCCATTGAGAATTTCTCCTGAAAAGACTCATCATTCAGCTCAGCCTGCCTACCACTTATTGAGCACCTAGCAAGTACCAAGCTCTGCTAAGAATTCACCGGCTTGATCTTGGCATCACTGAAATTATTTTTCTTTGGAGGAAGACACTGTAATAGAATGGCATGTTTCTAAAAGTGCCAGATGTTAGTAGGCATGCTTTAAAATAATAAATTAACTCACTCCAAAGGGAAAAAAAAAACAATACAAGTAAGCAGAAGAAACAGCCTTCCATCTCTGGGCATCTTTGTCCATGTGTGTTCGCTTGCTGCAGCCTCCATGCTCTGCAAGGCTGTTTTATTCTTCTTTGTAGGCAGGATTTTAAATATCTACAGAGCCTGCTCAGTAAAGCAATTAGAGAGCTCCTTGTATATTTCAATCTGGTTAATGGCTTCCCAAGCCATTCCCTCACTAAAGAAGTGCATAACAGCAAAGGCAGCCAACGAGCACCCCTCGGAATCCACACTCTCTTAATGGAAAGCAAGCAGCCTAATTTGTTTGCCAAGACTGTCGGAGCCCCCCCCGACGCCAAGTCCCAGTCTAAAATGACTTTTTATGTCCAAGTTACCGATTTCTCTGAAAACAACAACTTATAATGGAAATGTGGACATTTAACTCAAGTGCTCTTTTGTAATGGTTTTGCATTAGCGTTCTGAGAGGCAAAGCAACCACAAAGTTAACGTATTGGGTGTTCTAGCAGGGAAGGAGGGATGGAGGGAAAGAAAAGCTGTGGAAAACAAAAGGTGATTTTATTTGATAACATTAAAAGAACATTAGATTTGCACTCTATGAACTGGGCTGCATAAACGAGAGATCATTCAGGTAGACAGGCGGCTGTTTGTCAGGTGGGTTCTCCCCTGCCCCGCAGTGCCTGGCATTCAAGTCCTATCTGTATGTGACAGATTCCACTGGACCAAAAGCCATCCTAGGCTGCTGCTGCTGCAAGCCATGGAATTTCATACAAGTTCGTAACTTCCGACAGTCTGATTTGATAAAAACCCCAAACCCACAGTAGCCCATTATATGGGCAAACTATTCATTTTATATCCACCTCCTTGTCGTGTCAGTGCAGAGGTCATCTAAAGAGGAGGCCTAATTAATCAATCTGTCAGAGGCAATGAGGAGGAGCATGTTAATAGGACTTTTATTTCACCCAGGAAAGCAGTGGCCTGACAGGGACCAGAAAATATGGCTTTGGTGTTGCTGTTTATTAGCAATGCTGAGACCAGTTGTAATAGGAGCCGAGCAGTGTGTGGGTGATAAAGTGTGGGGTGTCAAGAAGCGGCAGCAACCAGAAATTAGACTGACAAGAGCCAGCACTCGCTGGATATTGATAGCTGATAAATAGGAAGCCAGGTGCAAACGGGCATACGAAAGAGAGTGGCACAGCAAACAAGAGTTTGCGCAGTTAAACAGGGGCAAGTAAGAAAGGCCGAGTGTGGATTTTGTCCTTTGCTGATAGCTAGAGGGGTCTGCTTCAGAATGAATCTTTACTTCAATCAACCGGTATTTCCTGAGAGGTTTCGTGAGTCCCTGCCCTAGGTGCTGGAGATACAAGGATCCACGAGACGTCACCCTACCATCCAGTACTACATTTATGATCTTAGGGAGCAGATCCCCTTAAGAATGTGAAGAAAGCTATAGACCCTCGAAAGATAAAATTCATATTTACACCAAGGACACACAATTTACCTACAATTTCAGGGAGTTTACAAAACTGAAGCCCACTCTGAGATGTTTTCAGAGAGAAGCCCTGGCTTAAGATGAGGGAAATCCCTGTCTGTTGTCACCATTTACTATACAGGGGGTATTTTTTCAGACGTGAATGAGCATCATTTCTTGGGGGAGAATGAGTCAAATCACAAGGGCATCATTTTCCTAAGAGGGGAAAGGGTTTGCAATGGAATACTAAAGGACATCTTGATGTCACTCACATCAAACCCTACGCATGTCATGCTTTCAACAGCAACATCCCTGTTGTGGGGAGGGAGCCATGATGTTCAGCAAAGTCAACCAGCCAAGAAATCAACAGCTCCCTGGATTGAACTGGGCGCTCAGACTTGAGCCTGCAGCAGGAGCACCTGATGAGTTCCACAAACACACCCTTGCCAGGGTCCCACCTAGAAGCCTCACTCCCTATCTATGGTCTGAAGCCCAGGCTTCTGATTGTTACACGGGTTCCACAGATTATCCTGCTACACACTAAAGTGTTACGGCTTTATCACATCTATCCTTACAACTGCCATTCAGGAGGTTACTGCTATAAGTCTATTTTGACCTACAAGGAAATGGGCTTTTTATGATAACTTTATTCTACAAGGATGAAAGGCAAAGGATTAACATTTTTATGTTTAGAAGGCCTTTCTTGAAATCTCAGAGAAGCACTCCCCACTATTTTTTTTTTTTGAGACAGTCTCACTCTGTCACCCAGGCTAGAGTGCAATGGCATGATCTTGGCTCACCGCAACCTCCGCCTCCCGGGTTCAAGTGATTCTCCTGCCCCAGCCTCCTGAGTAGCACCACCACGCCTGGCTAATTTTGTATTTTTAGTAGAGACGGGGTTTCTCCATGTTGGTCAGGATCTCGAACTCCCGACCTCAGGTGATCTGCCTGCCTCGGCCTCCCAAAGTGCTGGGATTACAGGCGTGAGCCACCACCCCCGGCCACTCCCCACTATTTTTAACCACATGCTGTATGTTTCCTTCATAGTACTTACCATAATTCATAACTCTGGATTATTTTGTTTTAGTCATCTGTTTACTTGCCTGTTTTTTAGTCTCTTCTACTAGATTTTAAGTTTACCACAGCAGGGATTGTGTCTATTTTATTCCTTAATCTATATCCACTATCAAACACAGTGCCTGGAACATGGTAGTTGCTCAGTAAATGTTAAGAGAATGAATGAATGAATGAATGCCCCTATGTATAGCTAAAAATTACATTAATCAGGATGTCATAAATGTTAAAGTTCTGCTGTGTTTATATATTGAAGGAGTCCAGGATATGCCACCCCCAACTATGCCGCTTTGTCATAAGGAGTATTTTTGAGCTGAAAGCAACGGAGAATCAACAGATAGGACAGGTGCAGTGGCTCACACCTGGAATCCCAGCCCTTTGGGAGGCTGAGGTAAACAGATTACTTGAGCCCAGGAGTTGAAGACCAGAGACCAGCTGAGACAACATGGCAAAACCCTGTCTCTACACAAAAATTAGGGTGTGGTGGCGTGCGCCTGAGTCCCAGCTACCTGGAAGGCTGAAGTGGGAGGACTACCTGAGCCCGGGAAGTAGAGGCTGCAGTGAGCTATGATCATGCCACTGCACTCCAGCCTGAGACAGAGGAAAACCTTGTTTCAATAAAAAAAGAAAGAATCAGCAGATACAGGAAAAGTTATCTGTTCTCCCCTTTTCTGCCTAAAAACAGGGCATAAACTTCCATTTGTGATGGTGGTATAAATTTCCCTTCCTCCTAAACCAAGATAAAGAGAGATACCCTATCATGAGAAGTGAGGAGCCAGCACCAAGATAAGTCTGCTTAAACAGACCTTACTAAAATTACCCTTCTCTTCCATTAGTTTCCCCCAAAATTTCCAAGTCATGTTCTCACAATTCATCTGCCCTAGATGCCCAAACCCCCTTTCCTCTGTCTAGTCATATCTCCACAATTTACTGCCATTTGTTCAATGGTATAAGCCCCCCAAAACCACTTTTTTTGGTTTTCAATTTTCTGTGGAGCCCCTGTGCATGTAAAATTAAAAATATCAATTAAATCTGTATGTTTTTTCTCCTACTAACCTTTCTAGTGTCTTTTGAATTCACAGGCGCCAGCCACAAAACATAAGAGGGTAGAGGAAAGGGTCTTTTTTCCCCCTTCTTTATTCCCCTACAATATGAACTCATTACTTTTTTCCAAAATATTAATTGAGCATCTGCTACTGCCAGGCCTTGTCAGACCTGAAGATGCAGTGGTTAATCAAAGAGCCTAAAACCCGCCCTCATGGGGTTCCAAGAGTCCTACTCCTTGTCTATATCAGAATAATAAAGACAACAACTAAAGCAAAATGAGTAAAAATAGACATTGTGTATAAGTTATTCCTTTATTTCAGGTGTGACACAGAGTAATTTGTATATATTATCTCATTGATTCTCACAACTCTCCTATAAATTAGATGCAGTTATTGGTCTCATTTTACAGATGAAGATCTCAACTTGGAGAAGTGAAGTAAACCACTGATAACCAGAATTGAGCAAATGGGGGAACTGGGATTTTTGACAATAGCTGACTCTGGTTCCAAAACCTGCATTCATAGGATAAGCAATATGGCCACTCCTAGGTGCTTCTAAACACCCTATAAACAAATTCACAGAAAAATAATAGCTGCATATGTGAACTTCCTAGGGGCCTGTTCAGCACCCAAGTTTTATATTTAAGAGTTTAACAGCATATGTTTTAGTGGAGTTTTCCAGTTTGTACAGCATTTCCACATTAAATGACACATTTTAACCTCAGAGAAACTCTGTATCGGGTACAGATAGATTATTAGCCCCCTTTTTCAGAAGAAGTAATAAGCTCAGAGGAGATCTGGCTCAGGGCCACACAGCCAGTAAACAGTAAAAATACTGAACCCGATCTCATAGGCTCTCTGGCTTCCCAGTATTATTTAATTTTTGCATTTAAAGGATTCATAAACTATCCCAGTGGATCCATGGGAAATAATCTGTGAGCACAATTGTATCATGAGACATGAGAGCAACAGCTTGGTGTGGTGACAAGAGCCACGTGGCTTCTTCATGCTAGCGTCACCCCTAACTAGCTGTAGGGGTCTGGGCAAATCGGTTCCCCTCTCTGGGACTAGACTTCTTTCTCTGTAAAGATGAGGATGGGGACTTTGACTACATGATCTATAAGCTGTCTTCCAGCTTTGAAACTCAATGTGAAGCTGTATCTCACCCCCTTATTTTTTTCTCCTTTTGGGCTTCCCTTCTTCACCTTTTAGCTGCTTTTGTTACATTCGAGGATTAGATGTCACAAAGCTTAGGCCCCTCTTGTCTAAGGACCTTGGCTGTCAAGACTTAGAAATGCAATTCCCACTGCTAACCTGGCCCCCCTGCAGTTTGAAGTGAGAGCTCAGACTGAGGGATGTGGTCTTTGCCAGAGGCAATATTTGTTATGATAGATAATGAAGATTCCAAATGCCCAGTGTCCTCTTATTTATCATTCAAACCTGGCTGATTCAAAGATTTTGCTAATAAGGAATCTTTAGGGCCAGAAGTACAATCTATTTGGAATCTCAGGAACCCCACCACTACCACCCTCACTCTCACTCCATGGGAGACGTTATTTTAATGATAAAAGAAGCCTGTATTTCAAATGTTCACTTAACTTTTACTATTTCCTTGTGTATTTCAAAAACATTAGAGAAACTTTTGAAAGAATACAACTGTTTTCTGCTGTAGGACTCATTATTATGCAATTTGAGGGGTGGGAGGGGACATTTTCAGGTGTCTGCGAATGACTGCAGATTAATTTCACTGACTGACAGGCTGCGGTGGGAAGTCAGCTGGAGATCTGGAGACAGCAGACCTATGCCCTAGTTCCAGCTCAATGCAATTGTGGGCAAGTCATTTAACCTTGATTTCTTAAATTGAGAATGGAATCACACCAATTAATTCGGCCTCAAAGAAATGTGGGAAGTAGGAGGGAGCCGTAAAACGATTCCCATTTCCTGCCTCTTCTCATTTTGCCCTTTTTGTTCACTTAATGCTGCCCAAAGCCACCTCAGCTTCACTTGTGGTCACTGTGGAAAGAAAGCAGAAAGCAGATTATTTCTCTTCTCTACTTAAAAATCTTCAAGGGCTTCTCACTGCCTAAGACTAAACTCCAAATTCTTGAGCTCCAAACAGAATCCTCCCTGCACCCAGCACTCTGGCTGCACTGACCCCTATGTGCCCTTTCCCCTTTCACCTCAGTCACCTTGATCTTGTTTCCTGTTCAGAAGGCCTTCCCTCTAGCACTGCCAAGGGTCCACAGTTGAGTCATCCTTCAAGATCTGGCTTAAACACGATCGTGTCTGTGGGCCCTGCCCAGGCCCATCCTGTGGCACCCATACCTTCTCCATTCCCACAGCACTCTGACTTTCCTTCAGGCGGTTCCTGCAGTTTTGTAATTCATGATGTTTCTGTGTTCCCTCTGCCTCACTACATCAGTATTTCTCTTGAGGTTTTTCGCATCAAAATCACTGCAGTGTTTGTGAGAAATGAAGATTTTGGGGTCCAACTCGAACTTACTAAGTCACACCTCTGGGGGTAAGGTATGTACTGCACACGCTAAAGCTTGAGAATGACTGCACTGGTTCATGAGCTCTGGAGTGGCAGGATTATGCCTGATTCACTGTTGTGCATCCAGATCTGTATCCTTTTCTTGAAAAAGCTGCCTTTGGTTGTCTTGAGAAAGATATTCTGTCTAGCAGTGTGAGGATACAGAAACCACTATTAGGATAAAAGAGCTAAGAGAGCATCGCTAAGTTTCTCTGCCAACATTATTCTACGTGGCTCTGCAAAAAGGATGGTGGAAACTTACAGCAAAAGAGGGATCTGGGAAAAAAAAAAGAGCCTTGGTGGGGGCAGCTAAAGATGGAGACATTGCAGAAAGGGCCCTTCTAGCTAAGAATGCCCAGCACATACTGCACCTTGCCCAAATGTGACTTCCTGATGAAGTTAGCAGGCATTTGCTGCAAGGATGCAAAATGAGTTATGTGCAGTGAGCATTGAAGGCAAACACAACCCTTGAACTTTTCTTCCCCCACTGAGAACATTAAATAAATATAAAAGACTAATCTCTCAGCAGCTAAAATTAAGCCTCTGGTGACCACCAAAATAGAAGCAACAGATTCCCTAAGACCTTGTGAGTTCGGGGTTCAAGCCTAAAGGGATACACTGTTATGTCAAATTGAAGACTCAGTCGAAGAAGACTCCACACCTCTAAAGCGTTCCAGGTTCAGAAAGATACTAAGGAAACTGCAGATGTGGATGGGTTGCCTCTAGATCATCTATTGGCTCTCAAGCTATCCTTCAATTTAGTCTTTTTCAACACTGATCTCTTTGAATTGAGGCTTTCCAGGAGCCCTAGCAAAATGAAGACGGAGACCACTTTATTTTATTTCTGGGACAATCAAATTTCTCTCCAATAGGGCAATTTCAAGACTGCCTGTTTTTGTAAATAGTGTACTGCAACCCCAGTGGTTAACGCCAAGCCCTACGTACCTACTTCTGGCTGCGTATGGAGACGTTCTCTCTGAATTCATTTCCTTAGACATTGGGGAAATAACTGATTTTTCCTTCCCATGGGGAAAATTGAATGCACAAGAATTTCTGGTCATTTTCTACAGTTTGTTCTGTGATTTCAAAATGGTAGATCTCATTGAACACTGATAAGATCAAGCAAAGAAGACTGGCTCTGTTTCCCCACTTGGCTTGAAAGGGCAAATGCCCTCCTGCTATGTCTAACTTGATTACTCTCTTCAAAGGCTGGCCAGGAATCTCAGACTAAGTCTTTCTGAGGCTGGCTTTGCCCTCCTTGAGGAGGGGACTGGGACCACATTTGAATGGCATTCACATGCAGCAGCAGGTATGAACAAGGAGGCTTTGAGGGCTCCAGGTGTGGCTGTGATATACAAAGGAGTTCTGGGGAGTGTCGTCTCTTTCCCAAAGAAGTCATCTCTGATCTTGTCATCTCCTGGCCACACACCCTTGTTTCATGCATTCCTCTGAGCAAACAACAACTTCCTCAAAAGATTCATTTAAAAGGGAGGGGGCTTCTTTTTACCTTGGCAAGGAGACTATTGTTGCTTGAAAACAAAAGGAATCTGCACCTTAATCCTGATGACATTTCTATAGGAACCTTATTTACAGTATGTCAAAATCCCGTTCTGCTCTTACAGCCTCATTAAATCTAAGCCTCATTTAACTAGTAGGACATTTTTACAATGGGTTTACTGGCGTACTGTGATAAATGGCTGTCTAACATCCTTCAACAATAGCCGGGCTACAGCCATAACCACGATGTGTATAAACACTACATCAGTTTAACAATACACAGTGCTGAATAGCAGGAAGTGAAGGCAAACATTTTCCCCGAGCATTTTTTGTATGTGTGGGGGTGGAAATAAAAGAAAAAAAATCACCAGAGGAAAAAAAATTATAAATTTTTTTTTACAAGTTTAATGTTTCTGCTGAGGATAATAAAGATGGCCTTTGAAAGTCATGACCTAGTTTAAAAAAAAAGTTGCCTGAAATTTGATAATTTGATCCCTGAAACATAAAAAGCGTTTGCAATAGAATGAAAATGACCCTGTTCTCTCTCCTTTTTAAAAAATCCTGTATCTGAAAAATGAATAGAATGGTGTGTGAATATATGCAGCTCACCCTTCTAGAGCTGAAATCCTGCTTGCTTATTCAAGAATATGGGTTAGGTTGCTGGGCAAATCAAAACAACTAGTGCTGGGCCAGATTCTGAAGACCAAAGCACTTAAAAAAAATCAGAGAGCCTATAAGCTCTTCATTTTTTATTCTGTGATAGAGAATCTAGCGATCATATTCCTATTCAAGACTGTTAGGGCCTCTTTCAGGTAGTTGTCAGTGCCAAAGGGTGGAGAAGCATAAGGTTTCCTAAATTAGAGAAGAAACTTAAATGTACTCAACACATTTAGATCCTGCCTGGATTTTCACTAGCCTCTGATTTAATTCCACACCAAATGCTACTGCATAACTGGACAGAGCAAAGCCTCTAGTATTTACACTGGAGGCTAAGGTCTGACATTCTGTCTAAATGAAATTTCCCAGTTGTCCCAAGAAGTTTTTACCTTGTTTCCATGCTAGCAGTTTGAAACGTCACTACATATTGCTGCAATGACAGGTGAGCAAAAACCAACCCTGGCTTGGCTGGTGCTCAGAGCAAACAGGCCTGGGAACCAGCCTACTGTTTTCTGCCCCATTCCTGCTGAGGCACTGGCCCATACTCTGTCCCACCAACCAACATCGCCAAGGGGGCCCACAAGCTCTGCCAGTGACCCTGTCAAAAGGCCAGTTAGCAGGGACTACAAGCAATTATCATGGAAAAGAGAAGACACTTGATCTCTCCTCTCTTTCTCTTTGTGCTTTAAGAAAAAAGGCTGCCTTCTGGAGTGAATTTTGGCAATAGTTCTATTTTTATTATTAAAATATACATTTGAAGCATAAAAGGTGTTTTCCATTCATACATTAAAAAGAAAAAGCTAAGTATATATCCTTATGTTACTCCAGCGCCCTTTGTTTTTTAATGCCAAAAGGTGGCTTCTACAACTTACGCTTTCCTCCCCATATGGGATGGTAGGCAACCAGAATTCATGCCTGTGCGCTTCATCAACGGTGTAAATCAATTAAGCATCCCGATTCTCCCCTGGAATGTGTCCCTTTCCAGATCAGCTTGGCTTAACATGATGAGGTATGGGAGCTCCCCACTCACAAAGGTAAAGAGCCCTCACCTGGGTAGTCCTACCATGCTCAGAACTGCCTCTGGGCACATGCAGCACTCGTTAACCTGACAGCCGTTCTGCTCTGCAAGATTGACATAGTGACGCTTTGACCAAGAGGCTCCATGACTCTGTTTCTCCACTCTAACACAGACAGGACGCTGCCCTGGGTAATGTTTCATCACAGCTTGCATTCAAAACCTCTGTGTCTTGCCTTTCAAGTACAGCATACTTTCTAAGAATTTCACTGTCTCTGCAGACATGTCTTTATTTGTCCTTTATAAATATTGCTTCTCTATGGAAAAGCTGCATTATATAAATAATGGAAGGAACCTACAGCCATTCCTTTAGTTTTGCTGGTCATTCTCAAAAATAAGGAATGAATGAAGAATCTGGGAAAATTCAACTGGAGAAGAGACGATTAAGGAAAATGCCAAGTTCCCTTTGACTATTTGAGGAGCTGTCTGACATGTGAACAAAGACATTAGATGGATGTGGGTTCAAAGAAAAGGGGTTTGAGTAGGACACATATCCTTAACTGATGAATGGTTCAGTTGAGGGGAATAAACACATGGCAATGAGCAGAAGAGGGACTGGTACCCAACCAACAAAAATCAATCTTGACCATATATGGGGTAACAGATGTTGGGGTCACATTCCATACATCACTTGGGCGGTAAAGCAGAGTTGATAAATTCATTCATTCTCATTTTCTTTCTCTCTTTCTCTGTGTTTCTCCCCAATCCTGTGTGTGTGCGTGTGTGTGTGTGTCTGTGTGTGTGTAGTACAGGACTGTTGTAGAGGAATCCATGTACTTGATGGTTAGATAAACTTTAAGCAATATTACAATCCTGATATTCTGTAACCCTAAGAATCAAATAGAAAGAGGACTAAAAAGAAGTAGCCTAGCACTCACTTTCTGTTTTTTAGCCCAGTTTTTTCTCATGGGTACAGAATATTCTGGACCTTTCCAGTGCCTTAAACAGTGCCATAATGGTTTCATATATAAGACCCTTTACACTAGCACTGTCTTTCCAGGAAGGTTAGGCTCTTAAAGCACTCCATGGGCACTAATTATTCATGCAATCATACAGCTAGCAATAAGAACAAAAATGGTTTGGAATGACAAATACTTCACAATAGGAACTAATTCACACCTGGAAAAAAGTGATCCGTATTCCTGTTAAAAATTAATACTTCATCAAGAGGAGTAAGCTATAGAGAGAAAATTCCATTCCTGGTGGGGGTCAATCTTCTTCTCACTCTTTCTTTGATAAATTTTCTTCTCTGTCCTTTCACTTATATGACTTCTGTTGGTCTGGGGAAAAAGCTTATCAGCATTTATGGAGTACAGCAACATGCTTTGAGAATGCACATCCAGCAATGTTCCCTGGACATGTTCTAAAGGAACTCTGAGAACAAGAAAAAGTGGAGACACAATAAGGGAGAGGTTTCCTGCCCTGGTCTGTGACAGGTTCCAATAATGAAGGGGCTGGATCCTTACTGATGTCATAAGCCCGTACTATAAAAGCTCAAAAAGAGCTTCGCATTTATAGATGAGTCTGGCATTTTGACTTCCTAATTTTCCAAAAAAAAAAAAAAAACAGTTCCTTCTTTTTAAATTGCTGAAAGCTGATATCGCAAGAAGCTTAAAATTACCCCCTTTGTATTTTCAAATTGTTGGTATGTGTCCCAAGTTTGCAAAGTTTCAAACTCTAATAATACCAACAAGTAAAGAAAGATCCATGAGCTGGTATTTACTTGGTGCCCATTAAATTCCAGGAATCGTTACATGTAAGATCGTATTTAATCCACAAACTAGTTATTTCACAACCTTTATGTTGATAAGGCTCAGAGAGGTAAGGTAACCTGCCTAGGGTTCCACAGTTAATAAATTCCCAAACCAGGATTTGAACATAGTTCGGAGTGCAAAGGTCATGCCCTTTCAAGTACACTGCAAAAAAGTTCACAATATATGCTGTTTGGGTATTCTAGAATTAGTAACAAGAGTCATCTGGGGTTTACTTGTGGCCAGCCAAACTCATACGTGAGTCTCCCCAGAATCTCTGTCCCCAGATACAATTTGATGACACATATGAATCAATCCTAACACATTAAATTCCTAATGTCCAAATGTTGAGAGCAACCTCTGCTGCTGCCGTACCAAATACTTATCGGGCAGGGCTGGAATGTAAGAAATGGAGCCCCACATACGATAAGCAATTCATGCCACAGTGCAAGGAGCTCTACTGTGAGAGCTGAAGCCCCAGGCTCTCATGTGGGCTCTTTCAAAGCAGCATCTCCAATTTGTTCCTCAGCTTATTTTCTCTCGTGCCTAATGAGAGATTAAGATGAAATGATCTCAAAGGGCCTTTCTAGTTCTATGCATGGAGAAAATGTTTTGAGGGTGGAAGAGAAAAAGTTAGAAAATAAAGAAGGAAATCATAAGATGCTAGAGATGGAAAGAAACACTGAGATCAGAGAGTACAACCTTGCCATTTAAGTACGAAGAAAGTGAAAGTCAATGGGAAAAGAGGACACCCTAAATTATGGAACCAGTAATTGAACCATGTATATAATTGGAGTCTCCCTAAGTTTCACATCAACCCTCATTCTATAACACAGAGCAGAATGCACTTGAAATCCAACAGATAATGAAGGGAAAATATTTTAGAAATCAGCAAAAAGATCACAATTATCCATGTCCCAATCAACTCAGAACCTGAATTAACTGGATTTTAATTTAGTTTGCCTTCCATTTTGGAGGAAAGAAACAGAAAGATGTCCTCATCATCAAATTACACGGAGCAATTCTAGGGATAAATACGCCACCAACCCAAACACCTACAGCTTCAAAGTCAGTTGTTCTCACACTTTAGTAGGCATAAAAATCACCCTGGGTGCTAAAGTGCCAATTTCCTGCTCTACCACCAAAGGTTCTGATTCATGTCTAAGAAGGGCTGAGGCACTGGGTTAACAAGCACTGAGGTCAAAGCTGAGACTTGTATTCAGGAACCATGTGTTCTAAAGCTGGATGAGTGAGAACAATAAAATTATGTTAACTACGGACATCTAGAGACTAGACTACTTAAATTTTTTTAGGACAATTTTGCACAGTTCTTTTTTTTTTTTTTTTTTTTTTTTTTTTTGAGACGGAGTCTCGCTCTGTCGCCCAGGCTGGAGTGCAGTGGCGGGATCTCGGCTCACTGCAAGCTCCGCCTCCCGGGTTCACGCCATTCTCCTGCCTCAGCCTCCCAAGTAGCTGGGACTACAGGCGCCCGCCACTACGCCCGGCTAATTTTTTGTATTTTTAGTAGAGACGGGGTTTCACCGTTTTTTAGCCGGGATGGTCTCGATCTCCTGACCTCGTGATCCGCCCGCCTCGGCCTCCCAAAGTGCTTGCACAGTTCTTAAGGTAAAGGAGTTTTTGTTCAATCCTCAGAAATTTAAATTTACCCAAACACCCCACCTACCAAAGATGCCTGTTTATCTGTATTGTGCTACTTTCTGTGCACAATGTTAGCACATTCATAAAGAAATCCATTTCCTAAAGTGAGACTTTGCTGCGACCACAGAATATCTGGTTTGAAATACACAACATCACTATGACAACTCTAATTTTATAATAAGAAAACCCACAAACATCCCAGCCTAGAAAATAAAACCTAAACTATGGCTTTTGAAATACTGAGTCTCTTGAGGTTTTTCTGCAACTACAAATGTTCAAGACTTCACAAGATGAAAGCCATGGTAGCGCCTTGAGGTCACATGATAAGGGGAGGCCTTGACAAGATCATAAAATATTCAGTATAGCAGTTTTCAAATCCACAAAGCTTCACATAGAAGCTCTCTCTCTCTGGTATCATATTATTCCAAGAAGTAGAACGAGTTAACAGTTACCTGAAATCAGAACTAATGTCCTCCTGCTCCCTCCTCTTGGCCCAAACCTGCCATATGTGTGGTCAGGTTGGGTAACATACACCAGTATCAAACATTTCTTTCTCTTTGGAAATCCTGAACTGAACATGTGTATTGTAGTTAATTAGCTTTGCCCAAAGGTGGCAACTGTTTTCAGAAAGCCAAACTGACACTCTTTTTTTCCAAAAATGAAAGGAAATGGCTTGAACTATCTGGAGGCAAACAGCAGCAAGGAGGCTTTATTTGAGAGTCAGCCTGGCGTCTGCTTCACTTTGTAGACCACATGGCCACTGTGGGAATGAGAAAGCACTGGGAGCTTGGCCGTTACAAAGGCACACGGGGCATTTTGTACTTGGCACACACAAGATCAGGTACACCCTAAAAGGAAGCAGCAATGGACAGATGGGAGTTTCACACCCTGCTTATAGCATTTTCTGTTTAAATCCAGAGGGTCCTGTATCCTTTGTGAATGCTGGCTTTTCTTCTGCATTTTGCCATAGTTTTTGCTTTTTTCTTCTTGTCTTCTTTTGATACATTTCTGCTTCCCGTGGCGACAATATAAGTGCAGTGTCCAACTTTCCCCCTCACCCCAAAAATGGAGAAAAACCTTTACTGACAAGAATCAGGCTGGGCGTGGTAGCTCATGCCTGTAATCCCAGTACTTTGGAAGGCTGAGGTGGAAGGATCACTTGAGGCCAGGAGTTTCAAAACCAGCCTGGGCAAGAGAGTGAGATTCCTGTCTCTACAAAATTTTTTTAAAAAGTTAGCCAGGAATGGTGGTGCACCTGTAGTCCCAGCTACTCTGGAGGCTGAGGAGGGAGGACTGCTTGATCGCAGGAGTTCCAGGCTGCAGTGAACTATGATAGTGCCACTGCACTCCAGCCTGGGCAACAGAGCAAGAGCTTGTCTCTAAAAAATAAAGACATTAAATAAACAAATAAATATTTTTAAAATTTTTAATTTTAAATTAAGAAAAGAATCAGATGAATACTGGTTTTATATTGTTGAGAGTAGGGTGTGATGGGAATTATGTCTGCTAAAAAGTAGCTTACAGATTGCTGGTGGGAATGTAAAATAGGGCAGTCACTGTGTACAGTGGTATGACAATCCCTAAAAATACTAAGCACAGAATTACCATGTAACCCAGCAATTCCACTTCTAAGTATATACCCAAAGGAAGTGAAAGCAGGAATCTGAACAGGTATTTGTACAACCACAATCATGGCAGCATTATTCACAATAGTCAATAGGTGGAAGCAACCCATGTGTCCATTGACGAATGGATAAACAAAATGTGATATATAAACACAGGGGAATGCTATTCAGCTTCAAAAAGGAAGGAAATTCTGACACGTGGATGAATCTTGAGGGCATTAGACTAAGTGAAATAAGCCAGACACAAAAGGGTAAAGATTGAATGATTTCCATTTATATGAGGCACCTAAAATAGTCAAGTTCGTATAGACGGAAGGTAGAATGGTGGTTGCTAGGGGCTCGGGTGAAGGAGGAATGGTAGTTATCATTTAATGGATACCGAGTTTCAGTTTGAAATAACGAAAAAAGCTCTGGAGATGGATGGTGGTGATGGTTGCACAACAATGTGAATGTACTTAATGCCACTGAACTGTACACTTAAAAAATAGTTAAAAATGGTAAATTTTATGTTATGTATATTTTACCAATAAAAAAATGAAAAGAATATATTAGGAAAAGGGTGACGCTGCACCAGAGATGCTACAGAACTGGCCTCGGTGAGTACTGCATTTGTGCCACAGCGAAGTTGAGAGCCAGCAAGTCTACCCTTGCTCGAGTGGAAAGCACTCCGTAGCTGCTGTGACTCAAACTACAACGTCTGCATTAGGAAAAGGAGTCCCAAAGACTGTCAGGCCTGTTGCAGGATAAAAAGATGGAGACTTGCCTGACCTTACAGTCCAAAGTTCAGCACCCTGAGGCAGGCATATGATGAAAAAAAAGACCTTGAAAAAATAGAGATGTTCCCTGGAAGTTGACTATGGGGGCTAAATCTTATTTATGAAGAGTAAATGTTCCTCCGGCCCTCAGATATTTAAGCAAAATTCATCCTGACAATTTTATCTCTAGAATTTTTTGTCTAATCTTATTTCAGATTCTGAAGGGAAGCAACATCTATTTCTTACCACAAATGAAAACTTTGCTACGTTCTAGGAGATTATCCTGTGTAAACATTGAGGCAGAGATGCTGGGCACTCACTGTCTTGCATAAATTCATTTGATCAACTTATCAATTGTAAGTTAGCAAGTTTTCATGGCTCCTTCAAGTGCTGTCAAACTCAGAGGCCTGGGATATGGGTGCTGGAGGGAGACCAGGGGAAATACTGCAGCTATCAATACAATAATCTGCGTTAAAAAACTTGGAAAGCTTTGCCCTACTTTTGGGCACATTTCTGAGAAAACAAAACTGAAAGTTCACATTGAACACCTGTTCTTCATTACCTCCTGCTTTCCAGGGTAAAGATGTCCCCATTACCAGGGAGTAATCAAAGATAGAAGCATTCCTTTAACCTAACAATACACTGAAAACAGCAAAAAGCAAACAAAATGGAAAATCTACAAGCACTAAGCCCCAGTATGAACTCATTTGTGTGATTCTATGACACAGCTGGAAAGAGAGCAAAAATCACCCACAACTTATACACTCAACTTGGGCGGGAAGGAATAATAGACTTCAATACACGCTCTGCATTAAAAAATCACTGCATAATTGTAAAATAATATGAAGATACCAAGAGTCTTTTAAAAGTATGTTCAAAAATACTCTTAAAAAGGAAAGGGACAATTAGTCTTTTTAAAATTTTTAAGTATTATTTTAAACAATGACTTCCTTTATTAAGGGGAAAAAATGCTGTTTCTATTTCTGGCCAGCAATCTATTTTCCTGGACTGGATCTCCAAGAGAAGTTTACTAATGTCCAAGTACTCGCAAACAAGAAGTCTAATAATGTTCCATTCCCATCCCCTCTAACTTCCATATAATCGATTAAATAAAAAGCCACTGTAGTATTTTTAATTGATGGAAAATGAAGTAAATAGATGTATTTATTATCCACATGGCAAAAAGTATGGAAAAGGGCACAGTCCCTATCATCTGGTATTTATTTGATGAATGGAAAGTTTAACAAGATGTTTTAAAAGGCACATATGAAGAGATTTTAAATCTGGAAAGAAAAGGGTCATACAGAAGGGGAACAGTTGGGAAAACAGCATTAACTATTGGAGGGAGAAAAGTTGACTTTCCTAAAGAACCTGTGGTTTTCCTAAAAGGAAACAAGAGTCAGCAATAGTTCAATGACTTTGCAATTGAATCTGTCCATTTTTATTCAAATGGTAAACTTACAACAGGGGTATAAGAAGTGAGAAATCTCTACCACCTTGTCTTTGTACAGATTTATCTCACTACGAAGGTTTTCTCGGCTATCCACTCAGGGCAATTTTGAAATATCAATTGCAATGTAATCCTGATAACAACTGAAGAAAATAAACACCAAATGATTGTAATTGTGTAAAGAAAATGAGCTTCAAAGACAAGCTGTTTATTTCCTACCCCCAGTAAACAGCTCGTAGTGGACATTTGTTAGTTGGTTTCCTATACTCATTCCTCCATTTCCTCTCCCCAACAGCCCCAACTTCCATTTGGGGATCCACAGTGAAGTGGCTGCACTTCAGGCCCAGCAAGATGGCACTTGTGACCCAGGCTAAGGCCATTTGTGCATTCCACCCCTTTAGCCCTGGAGGTTGGTGCAGGCATGAGCATAGGAGCCAAATCAGCCAGCAGGCTCAGTCTCTGGATTTTGCTCTTTCCTCCCAGCTTAGTTCTGCGAAGTGGCTGGCCATCATTTTGAAAGCCTAAGGAGACAGCATGCCTGAGGATGGAGCCAACCTGTGAGAAATGGAGCTCAGAAGTGTAAAGGAAGAAACAGTATCTGGGTTACATGTTAAGGCCACATCAAAATCTCTAAAGCCATATCTACCTTTGAAGTTTTAAAATATGGAGACAATAGATTGCATTTGTACAAGATTGTTTGGGTTGACTTTTCTTAACATAAAATTGCATGGAACATAAAAATCCTAACTGATATGGGATTATGTCTAAACTGTTATTTTATATATATATATATACACACACACACACACTTAAATGAAATAACACATAATTTGAACCCTACAATGGTGAATTTTAGAAAATATAGGTCAGGGAAGAGCTAGGTTGAAATTTACCCACGCAATACCTAAAAAACAAAATTCAAAGAGACATTTAAACTATTTGACTAAAAACTGGTATATAGCAAGTGTTCAATATAAATTTGATTAGTTATATCGACATATATCTATGATACCTTAATAACAATGTAAATATTATCCTAACAAGTAAGTGATATGATAAATACATCAGCTTGTTTAAGTTGATCTTTTATCAGAGGCAGAGGTTATCAGACTTGGATCTCATGGACTAGTAAAATTTCAAGGAATGTTTAGGTACTAATAAGTTGTTAATTTTTATTCTACCATGAAAGGATACTAACACACACACACACACACACACACACACACATACCACTTGACTATCGTCTACATTTCAATTTTAAAAAATTTAAGCCTAAAAAGTAGGATGGACATAATTTCACAATGAGGGATCATCCTTCCCAAGAAAGAGAAATTGATAACACTACATTGAAAACACAACCTACTTACACATGTCATCCTTTCTTTCTCACTTTGCCATGGTAATGTCAAAAAGTTTACCTTTAGTTTCTTGTTGTACTTGATTTTAATAAGCCACTTTGAAACTCAGGCTTTTCACTTCTTCAAACTGGCTGTTTTCTAATCATCTGGATAAACAGTTGGCATTTCATGTGTCTGTTTTGTGCCATTGGGCAGAAACCTGCTAAGTTATTTTGCTTATCAGAAGAATCTCTGATCAACTTCAGAGACAAACCTGGGAATATTCAAAGCTATGATTTGTTGTTTTATCTCTAATCAATTCACTTTTATGGTTTATAATTTTATAAAATTATAATTTCATAATTTGTGTTTAGTTTCTATTGTGATAATGTGGGGATTTAGACGAGTAACTAACTCGTCTTCAAGGAACTTATCAGGTTGGGGAGGCATTGCTAACACAAATAAGACACCACGGATATCTATCACAGGCTCGTTCAATTCAACTCAGTTAAGAGATAGGCTTTAGTAGTAAGCAAACAGTCCTATTTCTACTACTCACTAGCTATATAGTTTTAGGCATGTAATCTCTAGGTCTAAGCAATGTGGTCTGAAAATTAGAGTTAGTATACTTTCTTCACAAAGTATGTTGTGAAGATGAACTGTTCAGCAGTATCTGGTATATGGTAAGTTCTCAAACGGAAGTGATGCTAAGCAAATTAAAATGATCTCAAATTCACATTGGAACTGCATTTGGAGTTCATGTAGATATGGTAAGCTGGTGAGGCTGTAATATAAAACAATTGGAAATAGTTATGGGAACTACCACACACTGGACAGTAAATGTTCCACAAGAAGACCTTTAAACTTGTTTGGTTTTTGTGTGTTTTTTTTCTTTGGAGATAGGGTCTCACTCTGTCTCCCAGGCTGGAATGCTGTGGCATGATCTCAGCTCACTGCAACATCAGCCTCCCTGGCTCAAGCAACCCTCCCAACTCAGCTTCCTGAATAGCTGGGATTACAGGCCCACGGCATCATGCCTGGCTAAATTTTGCTTTTATTTTTGGTAGAGATGGGCTTTCACCATGTTGCATAGTCTGGTCTTGAACTCCTGGTCTCAAACAATCCGCTCACCTGGGTGGGCCTCCCAAAGTGCTGGGACTACAGGTGTGAGCCACCATGCCCAGCCTAGCCTTTTCTGCTTTGTTTAAATAAAATACTGCACATGGAAAACAACATATTTAGATTCCAAATGTAGCCCTAATTTGTGACCTTTGGTAAGTAGAATCTGAAGCAGCAGCAAAAACAGTACAGTTGACCCTTGAACAACACAGGTTTGAACTGTGTGGGTCCACTTATACACGGATTTTTTTCAACCACACACAGACTGAGAATACATTTGCAGGATGTGAAACTCATGTATATGGAGGGCAGACTTTTTGTATATATGTGCTGATTTGAGTATACATGGGGGTCCTGCAACCAATCCTCCACATATACTGAGGGATGACTGTATAGGGCTTCAGTGTCTTTGAAAGCTACATCCAAGCTTATAGTAATTACAAGGCCTTCCCCAAATATTAAAATACCATCCTATTTTACTCCTGTGCACAGCACTTCTCAGTGCCTGATATTCTTTTACTTTTCTTTTCAGTTGGCCTGTTCCTTGCTAGAATGTAACTCCATGAGTGCACACTCTTTGCTCTTAAGCCTGCAAAAGAAGAATAGATCTATAACTATTGAATGACAAAAATGAAAGGTATTATTATTTGTTCCTGTGGATTTCTATATAGAATCTAAGCTTCTGACCTACAAATTTTAGTCTCTGAAACTTAATAGACTTATCTTCCCCCTTTGAATCAGGATTCAGCTAAGAGAGCAAGGTATGATAGAGTCAGGTAATTCAATCTAGGAATTAATATTAAATTGGAGCATTACTTTCAAAAGTGTTAGAAGAGGAATGTGGATTTAGCAACCGAAAGATGCTGCACCCTGCCATGGGGCTGGAGTGATGAAAGGAAGAGGTGCTGCTCAGCTGGAGGCCAGGAGCACCCTGACATCCGGTCCAATGGTGGGCTGTCCAGCTGGATCCATTGAGGAAAGGGCCCTTCAGGGATCGCTGGACCCTAGATGGCAGAGGTCAATCTGCCCTTTGATGCAGAGGGGAGCAGGGCAATGAGGAATGGGGCTGAATGCAAAGAGCAAAGGATCAGGGTAGCCATTGAGTTTTAAAACATCAATACTGAAGGGGCAGTGATGCAAATGAACCAAAGGTTAGACCAGAAACTGGGCTGATTCTATTATTTTCTCCCAGTTTGAATGCTTTTGCAAATTCAACTGAAACAGTGCTTTGTGGCCCCAAATACCTACTGCATTTTTGGATAAAATGCATTTGGAAGAGATAATTGTTAAGGCCTATACAAGCATAACATTTAGATTCTATAATTCCATGCCAACTCTGGTAACAACGGGAAACCATGCTTAATACATATGCCTATTTGAACACACTTCTGAGCCTCTGAATTGAATACGTGTGTGTATGTATGTGTCATATTATAACATACCCTTTATGCATATACAAAAATTTCGAATTTTTCCTTCACATGACAGAATTGTTGATAGAGATATTAATCTGTGTTTGATTTTCTCTCCCTTATTCTAAGAAGACCTCGTGCCCCTTTGCCTCAGGGGTGTTTGTATGTGATGGTTTAAACAGAAGTTGCAAAAACACCCCACCCCCACACTTTCTGGCTTTTGCTGTCACTGAGGGCACAAGGCTAGATCAACACATATGGGAGGAGAGCCAGGTGAGTGCCTTTGGAGACAGGGGTGAGGGTGAAGGGCTTCCAGACACAGTCAAGATTAAGCAGGAGGGGGATTCCTCTAGAATGAAAAGGGAGGGATTGTCTGGAGTAGTGAGGACTCAGCTGGAATTCCTGGCAAGGGGGCAGGCTTAGTGGGGGAGTGACAAGCTCTCAGCTGGCACAGCTGTGTGATGTCCCAAATCATGCCATCACTCCCAGCTTGGGAAGGGATCCCCAAGCCCAAGTCAGTGAAAACAGAGACATTGCCTGATTTTAAGGGCCCAGTACCTGATGGATACTAACAGAGGACCCATCAGCAGTGGCCAGTGTGGACCACAGTCCAGAGGGCTCCCACCAAATGGCCTGGATCTCCCCCAGGCCCTGGGCTGGGAGCCAAGGTCGAGTGAACCCCCATTACAAGTGCGATCTAATTCTTTCCCACTCCAAGAGACAAGACTCAGATTTAGATTTACTTCTACTCTAAAAACAAACAAACAAATATATTGATGTGAAATTTCTTGCATCTGCATATCATAGAATAACATTCACACCTGCTACACATGTTTAAATGTTTAAAAACTCGAGTTGCTGGTGCAGAGTTATTGCTCACGCCTTGGGCTTTCATCAAGAGATGCAGCTGTGGAACTGTTGGGGGTAGGAGGGGGCTGGTTTTATTCAGAATCCTTAGCTCCAAGATGTGCTTACTGATGCTATGGCAGAACCAAGGCAAAACAACATGGAGGCTCCTTGGAGATCACTTGGAATGGACCAACAACCACATCCTACAGCTCTCCCCAGAGGCCCCCCGATGCAAGTAAAAGATGCCATGTATTACAACAGTGTATCCCAAGCTTCAGTCCTCATGTACTAGAGTCATGATTCATTAGCTACATCTGTGTACCACCTGTACTAATATTTACTAAGTATTTCTCTACATATGGTATCACTTTTATTACTTAAATAAATTTATCCTCATCCTAAACAAGAATATCCATGAAATCACAAATATGGCATACTATACACACACACACACACACACACACACACTCTCTCTCTCTCTCTCTCTCTCTTTCAATATGCATGCAATAAATACATAATTACTAAAGAACAAATGTGCACCTCTGCACCACCTAAGATTGTGTCACACTTCACCATGTGGCATAGCCTACCACTGTATGCATTGCTGTAAGAACTATAGTTGTTCTGGATATTCTAATCTCATTTTCTCTTCCCATCAATCTCAGTTTACAAACTTTGATAACTTTTTGATGATGACTAGTCTGAATATAAAATGGCATTAAGGGAGAGTGAAAGAGAGGCCAAGGGGAAAAAGAGGGTAAAAGGAGGAGAAGAGGTAAAATAATTAGGAGAGAAGCAGAAAGAAGAAAGGAGAGAGAAAAGAAAGAAAAGATGCCCAGGCAAGATATACAAATAAAAATATTAATCATATAGGAACCTCCATATTGTGTCTGTGTGTGTGTGTAACACAATCACACCAGGAACTCTGTTCACCAAAACCATGGCTACCTCATGAGGGGTCAGTATTATCTTCAATGATTACACAACACTGGTCCCAATCATAAACCTGAAAATAGGAGGCATTTATGCTCTGATCCCCCAGATTCTTCCAGGGACCCTTGTAATTCACTCCACCACTGGATCTTTGCCTTTCACACCATGCAGACTTAACAGCAAGCTGCATAGCCAGCCCTCCCTACACCTTCCCCACTTACCTTCCTTATCAGTTCAGGAAGAAATTTCTGCAAAACTCTTCCCCTGGTCACTGATATCTCTGGGAACCAAATCCATTAAGATATTTTTGATCCTTACTCATGCTATTTTGAATGTCTGGTGCACAGGAAGGAACCGATAAAAATAGAATTACAATGCCCTTACCGCCAAAGTAGCAAAGGAGCTGATTAAGATTGATGTCTGAATAAATATACAATAGCAGGCCCTACATTTAATAGTCTTTGATGGAAGTGGAAAAGAAGTGTAGTTTTCACTGACTTTATGTGTGTGCATTTCTGTTTTCTTACCATCTACTTTTTTCTTAAAATATGGACTATCTTTTTTTAATATCAAAAGTAGTATTGAATAGTAATGACAACAATAATACAAAATAATGGCTAATATTCATTAAGCACTTACTAGATGACAGACATGGTCCTAGAAAGTTTACATGTATTAACTCACCTAGTTCCCATAGCAGCAAACAACCTAATAAGGATGCATGCCTACTGTTACTCCTTTTTATAGATGAAAAATCTCAGAATCGGAGATGTAGCAGCAGCATAGCAGAAAGAGCCAAGTTCAGTCCTACTTCTCCAATTAAGTATATTCTCCTATTAAGTACATTACTATAATGTTAATATCTCTTGAACCTAGCCTCCTTTTCTATAGTTAAAGGTACTCAAGGAGCAGGTAGAGAACTAAATAGAGAGGTGTGTAAAGCCCTTCAGAGAGTGCCTCCCCCAGGAGTAAGCCCTCAAATGCAATGTGTTATTATCATTATCATTATCATCTTCACCATCATTATCATTATCATGATCACTCCTTCCATATCCCCCATTGATTAGCAGGCAAATGGTTTCCCTCTCTACACTTATTAATCTGATAATATAAAACAAGTAAATTTCCCTAAAGGAGCATGGTCTGATTCTTAAGAATTCTTCAAGGAAAGCACTTATGGCTCATTATCACTGTGTCATGGAAGGTACCCAGAGAACTCCATGGAGAGTAGCTTCAGCCCAGCTAGAATCATGTCATTCGACCAGCAATATCTAAATTATTTGCTGCAACTTCAACTTGTGAGTGGTTGTACAAGTGCTTGGTGACTGAATTTTTTATCTGTCCATGTTAATCACTTTATCCACTTTGATTTCAGCACTTTCTTTTATGAAAATTTATTATTCATTTTCATTTTTAAGGTACACATAGGATGGTCCATCATGAGGTGGACAGCTGGAGAGTCAGCTCATGATTCTAATGTAAGAGGTTTTGGAAAACCTCCCTTCACTTGTCCCCTACCCTACTGGCCCAGTATGGTCAGTCAAGCAAACAAGCCCCCATAATAAGCAGCAAGCACCACTTAAAAGTTGATTGAAGAATATATAAATTATAGTTAGATGGGAGGAATTTTTTTTAAATGTGTCCAGAATACTCAAACATATAGAGACAAAAAGGAGATGAGTAATCGTCTGGAGACAGGGGGTAGAGGGCAGAGAAATGGCCATTAGTAGAATTAGAGAAATTATCTACTCATAGTTATGAAGTTTCTTTTTTATGTGATGAAAACATCCTAAAATTGACCGTGGTAATGACTGCCTAACTCTGAACATACCAAGAACCACTAAATTATACACTTTAAATGGGTGATTTGTACGATACATGAATTATATCTCTACAAAACTTTTTCTAAAAGCCAACTGCCTTCATATCACTTACAGTCTTATCTAAATCATCTGTGCCCTGAGCTATTTTTATCTATATCCCCCAAATCTCCCACTCTTCCCAGCTAAGGGCCTGGTGGCTTATTTCTACTTCCAGACTCATGTTGCTACATTCTTTATCCTAACCCTTAGTACCATGTTCTAGTTTCAATGGCCGCTTCTTTCCTTGCTTCTTTCCCACCTCCTCTGCCTCTAGCCATCCTGCATAGACCAATTTTTAACCTCTAAGATTCTCTCCATAAATATACCTCCACAGATAATGGAAGAAAGAAGCTTGCAGGATGTGCCACCTAGAAAGGGTGCCCAGCTATATCCTGAGAAAATCATCAAACGTTTCTCACAATAGGGCTCCTTGGAAAAAGACTCAATTAATGGTTCATTATCAGATTACTAGAGAATCATTTAATATTAGCCAGCAAGCCAGAAATTTAATCTTAACTTCTCCCTTGCCCTCAGCCCATTAGTTCTAAACCTTTCAATTCTGTCTTCTCCGCTTGTCTTGGGTCTTTCTTTCCTGTTCACCTCACGTGATGATGCTTCAAAGTAAGATCCTCAACATCTTGTTCCTGGACAATTATAACATTCCTGGTCTCACTTCCTTCCCATTCCCTTCATCTTAGTCCACATTGCTGCTAGAGTTCTTTCCAAAAGATAAATATAGCCAAATAATTGTCCTGCTTAAAACCTTTCCATGGTTCACCAAAACCACAGGATACCATCCAAACTCTCTCACCCGGCACATGAGGCCCTTATGACCTTCTCATCTTACCACACATGTCCTGCATTCTAACTTGCTTCTACTCATTGGGCATGCTGCCCTTTCTGCCTTAAATATCCTCTTCCAGATTCGTCTCAGTCTTCCTGAAGCTTGTCCTTACCCAAGCTGAATTGGGTGCTCATCATGTCTGTCTCCCAAGTCATCTTACAAAATTGCTGTAGCACTTGTGACAGTCTGTTAAATGATCTACTTCTCTCTCTCTTTTACTAAGAGGCTAATAAGGTTTTCTGGGGACAGTATTTTAATTTGTCCATTCCCATATTCCCAGCACCTAGGACTGTGCCTGACATTACAGTGAGCAGGCGTTCGATAAATGGTAGTTAAGTTAATGAACAAATGAAACTTGAGAAGACACAGGAATAAGTTTCTACCATTGATGCAGGGGTGCACATGTGTCCTGATTTGCTATCTTTTTCTCTTAGAACCATAACCCATGGATTTTTGAAGGACAACTAATCAATTTAATGCCCAGACTCAGAATAATCTCTATAAACCACATGCAACCAAATGACAAAAAAAAAACATTTTTCAGGGTTGCTAAAGTCAAAGCGTGATTCTTGTCAATCCCAGCTACAGTGCACGCCATTTGTGCACAACATTTGGGTATATCTACAGAATATGTCTCTCAAATTAAGCGGTAAGGCTAGGCGCAGTGGCTCCTGCCTGCAATCCCAGCACTTTGCGGGGGCAAGGCTGGAGGACAGTTTCAGTCTAACAATTTGAGACCAGCCTGGGCAACATAAGATCCCATCTCTACAAAAAACTAAAAAACCAGCCAGAGGTTGTGGTGCATGCTTGTGGTCTCAACTACTTGGGGGTCTGAGGTGGGAGGATTGCTTGAACCTGGAAGCTTGAGGCTGCAGTGAGCCGTGGTGGTGCCATAGCGCTCCAGCCTAGGCAACAGAACAAGGGCCTGTCTCGAATAATAATAATAATAATAATAATTAAGCATGAAAATGAAGGGAGAAGAGGACCTTAGTTGCAGTTTAGGATACTGTGACTCAACAGAGATTTTCAACCTGATGCTCACAGAGAGGTTTCACACTTTTGCTCCAAGTACCTTCACAACCCAAGTGTCCATCAACAAATAAATGGATAAACAGCATGTGATGTATACATACAATGAAATATTATTCAGCCTTACAAAGAAAGGAAATTCTAACACATGCTACAACATGGATGAACTTTGAAAGCATCATGCTAAGTGAAATAAGCTGGTCACAAAAGGACAAATGTGTAATTCCACTTATGTGAGTTACCTAGAGTAGTCATATTCATTGAGACACAAAATGGAATGGTGGTTACTCGGGGCTGGGTAAGAAGGAAATGGGAGCTAGAGAACTGAGTTTCAGTTGGAGAAGCTGGAAAAGTTCTGGAGATAGTGGTGACAATTGCACAACAATGTACATGTACTTAATGCCACTTAAAATGGTTAAAATGGTAAATTCTACAATATACACATTTTACCACTATAAAAAATGTTGTAGAATAGAATCAAAAATATCAAAGTGCATATTATGTACAATGGATAAACATCCTCTATGAAATTTTTATTTCAGTTCAAATAGTTATATATACTTATTTTTGGTGTAAAACAGATTTCTTACTGTGAGTTGTGGTTAAAAAAAGTTTAAAAGCCACTGTTCCAAAAAAGTATCTTTAGCAGCTACATGGTATTCTATCGTATGGACACACTGCAATTTGTAAACCATTCCCTTGGTTTTGGACATTTTTTGGCTGATTCTCTCTGTGGTGAACACTTTAAATACAAGCCTTGGCATGTATCTCTATTTCACCTCTCGTCACGCATTTATTTTCTCAGCTTGTTTCTGTAATCATTTCTGTACCTCACAATCAAACTCTCTAACAGTTTCGGTTTTGTCTTTTTATCTGGTTTGCATTAGTAACCATGAACATAAACTCCATCTTGCCAAAGGTCCTACCTAGCTTCTGGAAATGCCTCTGTCCGCCTCATGTATCCAGTCCATGATTTAAGGCTCTCAACAGAAAACTTCAATGGCAAGAGATATTAGCAAAGTATTTCCTCTGTTGCCACTGCCACTATGATGGGCAGCCTCTAAGATGATGGGTAGCCTCTAAGATGTTCCCAGCGATCTCCCTGTCTGGTATTCATGCCCATATGTAATTGTTCCTCCCTTGGGTGTGGATATGAGCTGGACCTAGTGACTTGCTTCTAATAAAAAAAAAAAGTTCAGCCAAAGTGATGGAGTATTACTTCTGAGATTAGATTACCAAAAGACCCTGCTTTCCATCTTCCTGCATCTTTCTGCTCCTTCTGATTCAAGACAGTTACCATGTTGTGAGCTGCCCTGTGGAGAGGTCCATATGGCAAGGCATAGAGGAAGGGCACTGGCCAATAGTAAACAGAAAACCCAGAAAACCATGAGAAACTGAGGCCTTCAGTCCAACAACCTGTGAGCAACTGATTCCTATCAACAACCACCTGAGTAATGTTGGAAGTGGATTCCACCCAAGTCATGCCTTGAAATGAGACCACTATTCTGGACGACATCTTCATTACTGTCTTGTGAGAAAGACTGAGCTAGAGGACCCAGCTAAGCTGCACCTTGGTTCCTGACCCACAGAAGCTGTAAGATAATAAATGTTTGTTATTTAAGAAGCTGCATTTTGTGGTGAATTTTTTACATAGCTATAGCTAACCAATACAGCCACACTGTCAGATTGCTGGGCTTAATGGAAGTTTAAGAAGGCATTTACCATTCCAGGATTTTCAATTCATCATCACCACCACCACGGTTGAGAGTGTTCTAGCTTCCTGTGCCATGAACAGATGGCCATGGTCCTTGGAAAAAGAGGTTGGAAGACAACTAGGACCAGGAACTTAAAATTTTTTCCACTAGTGAGGTTCCTCTTAGTGACGTCACTTACCTCATGTGTTTATCTTTGAGAGAGAGGGTAACTGTGATTTTTGCCTGTGGAACATTTAAACCACCTTATTCTGGTAATAGCACACCAATTTTCCTTTGAAAACTCACTCCTATTCCACTGTTAATTTGTGTGGTACCGATGGGGTCCACCCTGCCTGGCTTGGGAAGGAGCACATGACTATACCTTGCCAATCAGTGCATTCCATCCTCCTTCCCACACTGATTGGTCCAAAGAAAAACATGCAAATCAAGCTAAAACAATGAGAGTCTCTTGACTGAATGTAAAGCTCAAACTGCCAGCAGCCACCACAAGAGGAGTCTGTCTACAGATGAAGCCAACACTTAAAGACCCAGCCAATAATAAGAAATAAGAAGTGAATTCCAATAATAACATTGGTATCTGGATCAAGCTATTCTCGGTGTTGGTCATCCCTGAGGACTTCTAAGTTATGTAAGCCAGTAATTTCCAATGTTTTGAGTCATTTTGAGTTGATGTCTTATTACTTGCAGCCAAAAGTGTTTTAACTAATATGCCCCTCTTGCTTTGCTGCTCCAAGATTTCAAGCACAACAAAACAAAAAACTGCATAACTTGACAGATTAGAGAATGTTGCTGATACAAACTGAAGTTTTCCCTTAATACTGAAAGCAATAATAGCCTTGAATGTAAGTTATGGTGAGCATGGTTCTAGAAAGGTTATTCTTTGATATCTAAGATGGATAGATATGAAATCTAGAATTGGGTTGTTTTGTTTAAGAAGACTTGGATTTATTTTCATCTTTTTTCTCTCCCACTACAGAAGTGACTGATATAAATTTATCTATCTTCCTTCCTTCTTACATTCTTCAAATATTTGTTAAATCATATCGAATAAATGTTTAATGAAATAAGCCCCAGAAGATGACATTCAGCCGAATATCCTTCTCAAAAAAATTTTATTGGGATAAAATTTATGTATGATAAGCTGTATCTATTCAAATTGTACAACTTTATAAAATGTTGCAGATATATACATACTATAATGAAGACACAAGGCCATAATTAAGATACCAATCATTTTTTTCACCCCCAGTATATTCCTCATACCCTTTGCAGTCTGTGTCTTTCCCTCTGTCCCCAGTCCAAGCGACCATTGATCTTTTCGTCACTTTAAATTAGTTTGTGTTCTCTAAAATTGTATACAAATGGAATCACAGTAAATGTACTCTTTTGTGTCTGGCGTCTTTCATTCAATATAATGATCTTCAAATTCATTCATGTTATCCCATGTTTTAGTATAGTTCATTCCTTTTATTTGCTGAGTAGTATTCCAATGTACAGGTTGTTTCCTGGTGTTGGTTATTGTGAATAAAGCTATTAAGAATATTTGTGTACAAGTCTTTATGTGGACATACATTTTTATTTGTCTTGAGTACATATCTAGGAGCAGAATGGCTAGGTTGTACAGTAGATGTGGGTTGACTTTTTAAGAAACTGCCAAAAAGTTTTCCAAAGAGGGTGTTCCATTTTACATTCATATCTGCCTCTATCTGTGGATCCATATATTTGTCATTCTTGGTATTGTTAGCTTTTTAAATTTTAGCCATTCTATTGTGTGTGCAGTGGTATCTTGCTATGGTTTTAATTTGCATTTCAGCCATGACTAATGTTTTTTAACATCTTTTCATATACTTGTTGGCCATTTGGATATATCCCTTTATGAAGAGTCAATTCAAACTTCTGAGCATTTTTTATTGGGGTGTTTGTCTTTTTTATTAGTGGGTTGTAAGACTCCTTTATGTATTCTGGATAGAGATTTACATAATATCCAGATTTATAGGTTGAAAATATGTTCCCCTAGACTATGTTCCCCAAGACTATGGACCACATTTTGATTTTTGTAATGATATCTTTCAAAGACTGAAAATTTTAAAATTTTGTCATTATTTTCTTCAGTGGTTTATGTTGTTTATGTTTTTTGTGTCCGAATCTAAGAAATTTTGCCCATTCCAAGGTTGCAAAGATTAAGTTTTCTTCTAGAAGTTTTATAGATTTCATTTTTTAAAAAAATTTAAGTGTAAGATCTGTTTTGTAATTATTTTTGTATGTGGTATGAGGTAAAGGTCACGGTTTTCCATATTGATATTTATCTGTCCAGGTACCATTTATCGAAGACTACTGTTTCCTCATTAAATTGCCTTGAAACTGTGCCAAATTCATTTGGCTGTATATATATGGGTCTGTTTCTGGATTTACTTTTCTTTGACATTGATCTATGTGTCCACCTTTCATATTACTTTGTTTTGAATAATCAAAGCTTCATAGTAAGCCTGAAATCAGATAGTACAGTCCATCAACTTTTATTTTTTTATACTCACTTTGACTATTCGAAATCTTTTTTTATTTTCAAAAAATATTACAATCAGCTTGTTTATTTTCAAAGCCCAAAAGCCTGCTGAGATTTTTACCCAATCAGTAGATTGAGCTGAATCTACAGATCAATTTAGGGAGAACTGAGCAGTTCGCAAACATAATATATCTTCATTTGTTTAGGTCTTCTTTAATTTTTTCAGCAATGTTGTTTGGTTTTTCAGTGAAGAGATTCTACATATCTTTTGTTATATTTGCTCCTAAATATTTTAAGGTTTTGGTGCTACTGTAATTAACATTTTAAAAAATTCATTTTAAATTTTATGCTGCAATTATGAAAACATACAATTGGTTTTTGTATCTTAATCCTGCATCCCATAACCTCATTCTTATTCACTTATTACTTCTAGCAGTTGTTTTGTAAATTCCTTAGAATTTTCTACAATGACAACCCTGTCATCTGCAGAAATGGACAATTTTACTTCTTTGTCTCCAATCTTCACTCCTTTTATTTCTTTTGTGTGTGTGTGTGTTTATTACACCATGGAGGACCTTCATAACAATGGTAAATAGCAGTATCAATCCAAGAATCCTTATCTTGTTTCTGATCTTAGTGTGAAAGCATTCAATATTTGCCATCAGTTGTGATGTTAAGTGTAGGACTGTAGTCTTTTATTAAACTGATGAAGCTTTCTACTCCTGGTTGCTGAAAGTTTTTATTATGAATAATATTGAGTCTTTTTGAATGCTTTTTCTGTATCTATTAAAATGGTCACATAGTTTTCCTCTTTTATCCTGTTAATAGGATGAATTAGATAGATTTTTTTTTCACTTTACACCCATCTTGTATTCCTGGTATAAATCCACATTGATCATAATCTATTAACCTTTCTATATGTTGTTGGATTTGATTTGCTAACCTTCCGGAAAGTATTTTAGTTTCTGCTCATGAGGCATGTTATTCTGTAATTTTTTTGGTAACACATTTTTGTTAGGTTTTGGTATTAATGTCATGCTGGCTATAAAACATGTTGGGAAGCATTTCGTCTTCAAATTTCGGAAAGATTTTCTGTAAGATTTCATTACTTCTTCTTTGAATGTTTAAATGTTGATATCTACGGTGGACGGTAGCTCGGATCTCAGTTTAGACACTTTCAATCTGCCCCTACATGCATGACTCAGGGTCCAGAGACTTTGTAGAATATACACAAAGAATTTGGTGTTTCTCTTATTTAGCTCTCTCTTTTTTTCCCCTAGGATTCCCCCTCACTCTGTGGTGGCTCTGGTTACTCTGAGCGTTTTCAAATGGTTTCTCCTGCCCAAAAGAGTATGGGCTGTCTGTCAGAATTTTAGCCATATCATGAAACCGTTTTACTAAACTGTGGCTACCCTCCAGAAACCAACAGAAATGAAAAACTTCATTGGAGTTGCTTCCTCTAAGTTTCAACTCCCCTCCAAAAACCTACTTGCTTCTGTGCACCTCCAAAGCCCTTGGGTAGTTATTTTATTTGTTATTTATAGTTATTTGCAGGAGACTTAGTTTGTTAGGAGCTTATTCCTCCATAACTAAAAGAGAAACCCACAGTAACTTTTGTATTAAGTTCGAAACCAATAACTATATATTGTTTAGATGTGTGTATTATAAGAAGCATCTAAATAAGCAAAAGAATGAAAAAAACAAAATTCAGATTAATGTATACCTGGAAAAAGAAGGCAGGAGATAAGAAACGAGAAAGCACATAGATAAACACAAATTATTGTCAATGTTCTAGTAATCAGGCTCTCTGTGGGTTAATGGATGTTCACTACATTACTCATAAATGGAAAAATAACATGATGATAACAAAGGCTAGGCACAGACCAATGATGGCAATGCATCATAAACAAAGGATTTTGATTAATTTACTTCTATCCATCTAAAAACAAATGTTGTCAGTATCCCCATCTTGTTCCTGGACTCCTGAAAAGGCTCTAAACCAACAAGATTCTGAGACGCTGTAGTCACAGGGTCTATGAAATGGCTAAGGATTTATGAGATTCATTTATAGGTAAAATTTATGAACCATTCAAATTTAGGCATGTCTTAGACACGTGGTTAATAACAACGAAACACCTTAAATAACGTTGTCGTTTTGAACGGAAGAAGGAGGAAAACCATGCCTGTGTGTAGTGTTGTGGGTTTTTTGTTGCTGTTCACAATATGAGCAGGCTGTTTGACAGAGAAAAAAGTTCTTGATGCTTTAGAAGAAAGGAACAACAAGAAAAGACATTGAACTCAAGAATATTGAAGCAGTCTCAAAGCAGGAGAAAACTTCAGCTTGCATGCCTAAAAGCTTATCCACATGTCAAGGGCCGTGGGACATTTTCCCAGAGGGCCTGGACAAGAAGCCTCCCTGGTCTTCTTATCCTAAACTAGGCTGAATGGAACACCAGGGAATATGCTGGAGGGAGGGAGATCACACTGGCCAAAAGGGTGGAAAAAGTGATGCAATCAGAGAGCTCTTTCCCATCTCTAATTTTATGACTCTAAAAAGGAAAGAGAATTCAAACCACTTCAAAATAAGGTCACCGGAGACCTGACGTAGATGACTGGATCTGTTGAAAAATAAGTTTATAAAGATGCATTTTTCTGGTTGATAATTACATATAATGTCAAAAGATATCTCCACTTAGCTACTGCTTCATATCAAATATACAGTAAAATTTTAAACTAAAGCAGAATAATCTCTAGCAATTGAGAAGAGTAGGGGGAGAATCTACAAACAATAACACTGAAAAGTAAGGCTTCCCTCCCCAGCAACCAAAAGCTTGACAAATAAATCATGCCTGTTGTTTCATTGCTCAGGATATTTAAAATAGTGTAAGCAGAAAAGTCTCTTCCACCTGCTTGCTACAAGGTTTGATTTTGAGGATAGTGTACTCCCAAAGACATACCTCTAAAGGAAAAAAAAATACCATTTGATTTTCTTTCCATTTTTAAAATCTGATATCACTAATAATAAATTTTATGTATTTTTCCTAAGTCAAAGAGAGAAATACCTTATTAGTAGCTGTCTGTTGCTTACACTGAAACAGCCATAAGAACATATTTTAAAAGCTATGCCTTATAAAAGTGCCTTTTTTAGAAAATAAAAAAAAGAGAGAGAGACTGAGAAATTTGCTAATTGCTCTCAAATTCAAATCTCCAATCAACTGAACACAATTGTAAGTAAATAGGGCCTCTTTGGGGGAAGGTAATCCTAATTATGTGGCAAGCTACAGGGACACCCAAGTTTATGTCAGTAGCAGATTCTGATAAGATATGCACCAAAGGAATCATGTCTGGACTGTTTCAACTGGGAGGGTGTTGGTGTAATGTTGGTGTTTAGCTGTGATCTAGAGATCAGCAAAGGTCAGGCTGGACAAAACAGCGCCTAATGAAGCTTCTCGTGTTTGGGGTGAAAGAGCCACAAAGCCTTTCAAATTAGCAGCTGAATCCTGACACTCATTAGTGATTATATATGCAAGGGCTGCATCTTCAGCCCCAACCAGTGAAACAGCCTAGACGCTCTGCATACACACAAAAGAAATAAAGTACGTACAAACATAAAGAACTAGAACCTTTTAAATGCCTTTCCCTTCACATTCTGACATTTTCTTTTCTTTCTTTTTTTTAAATATTAATGACAGGACTGCAGTGTGCTTACCTTCCAATTTCATGTTAAAATAATTACCATCGCCGTGACTAAAATGAGACTTTCAGTTTTTTATTTTAATCAAGGAAGGTCTAGTCAGAAATTGCTCTGCTAAGTTCTGTACAAGACATAATACACTCTTGTTAACTAACAAAGCCAATAAATCAAGCTGAAGCACTTATTAAACTATCTCACAGGACTAAATTTATCACTGATGACAAATTTAATTTGGAGTTTTGAGACTTTGCTCCTTGCATATACTTCAACAGATTTTTTGGAGGGGGCAGCTATTTCACAAGTAATGAATGCTAAATTTACTTGAAATTTTTAGAGATGTAAAAGACAACTTCCAATAAAAACTGTGTTCTTCCTAGAGTGTCGCTATCACTAGAAAAAAGTTATGCATTTCAATTCCTTTCCAGTGACGCTATCCTTTGCACATTAGAGTTAGGAGAATTTTTTAAATGGTGATAATGAGCATTTTACAAAGCAATTTATAACTATCACTCAGTTAGCCCACACTCTATCTCCACAGGTAGGTCAGTTTTTGTCCCTTGATAATGAAGATAAGAAAATTGAGATACAGAGTTTTCCCTACATAACAGGTAGAATAATTTTAATCTGTGGCAAGGTCATTTGGCACAAGGGAGGGTGGAAAGGAAAAAGTGAGGAAATGCACAAAATTGTATTGGGTCTTCTTACAGTAGCTAATACTGTAGCTAAAAGAATGATATTCCCACTTTAAGAATCAAAAGAATTACATTTCAAATCCACATAAAATTTTATTAATAGGCGACCTTTCCTTGACACCATGCTTCTAGACTATAATATGAATAATGCCTTATTTTCTGTTCCAGTCAACTGCACCGTGCAGTTTATTATACACCACAGCCAGGTTACATAAGTTATATTTTCCATAAACTTTTCCTCCTCCTGAAACATCACTCTACAACTCCACACTAGCATTTTCCTGTTGTCTTTTCAAACAGTATTTTCCTTCTTGACAGTGCAATCAGCGTATAAAAACCAAATTTCACCATCTGGTCCCGTTTAAAGCAAACCGAGCAGCCTGAACCACAGCCTGACAAGGAGAACACATTAAGCTCTTGAACAAAAGCATCCAAGTCGACCTGTTTTGCAGACTGATTAATAGAAACAAGCTCCAAGGACTAATCACAAGTCGAGCCCTGTTTTGCAGATTAATAGAACAAAGACACATGAGAGGAGGGGAGCTTACAGCACTAGAATACAAATAAGCAAAGGTAGGCACCAGGCTTTCCTTGACTGAAGTCACATCCTGTAAAGCCAGACCCAGGAACCCAAGTACCAGGGTGTCACATTCAGGGATGAATCAAAACGCAGCACCAAAAAGGTCTGGGTTTTATCATTCAACCCAGCACTGGATGAGCCATCTAAGTTCTTCTATCTTAGGAGACTCTGATTTAAAAAAGAAAACACATTTTTTCAGCTGAATAAATGCAGGGCTCTGGTGCTTTTGGGGGTTTCCTTGCATTTCAGCCAGGCAAACCACAGTACTTGTTGAGGACAGACACTTCCACCTTCCCATCTTTGAATGGGATAATCTGTGAAATATGTACATATGTGCCAACCCACACACACACCCGGATCATATACGTGATGACGGCACCAAGTTTGAAGGACAGGGTTAATTTCCAATTACTCATAGACACACATTTTACGGCTACAGAATGTGGCCTTTCTTCCTGACTGTAAAAATAAAACTTACCCACTGTAAGAATGTACAAAATCCCAGGAAAAGCAGAATAAGAGAAAGAAAAAAAGAACATTCATAAGAGAAAATCGCTGTTATAACTTGTGGTGTATTATCTTTCAGTTTTTGTTTTCTGACTATATTAGTATATGTTTTTATAATGCAATGATCCATCTGTACATTTTTGGTGAGGATATGGCTTTTAAAATGCTTACTGCTAAATATAAGAAGAAAAACATACTATTGCTGTCTGATGACTGATGCTAGTTCTTCAAGGGACAAAACCATTCAAGGTGAATGTAAGAATGCTTTTACTGGAATTGTGAAATCTTCATTCATGTGAGTATGTGGTTAACTGAGGAAAGTTTGCACAGCTTGGGAAACATAATTTTTAAGAATCGAGATGTCTACTTTTTGCATGATTTCTATTTTTGATGATTTTCTATATTTAACTATTTCCCTTTCATTGTTTTTTCTACTGTTACTTGTAGAAACTCAGACAAAAAGCTTTTTTGGTCTCGTTCAGATTATTTGATGCAATATTTTCAGAGTGAGACAAAGAGAATGAATTTTCTCTGGCATATTTGTATTCTGCTTAACCAATAATCCACTGATTCTGTTTATTGGAACAATCAACAAAGCAAAAATGCATTCATAATTATGTATCAAGAGTTACAAAGTCTCAGAACTGACTTTAGAGCACTGTTAAGCCTGTGGTTTACAGGCTAGCCAAACTTCAAAATTTCCTATGAACTGTTTCTATTTCTCTCAGACTTTTCAGAACAGAGTTCAAACTCTGTAGAAGGTAATTCCTACAGCAAATAGCCTTAAATACGAATACCCTCCTTAAAAACCAATACCTTGTGATTTTCCCTTCAATAGTAATCTTGAACGGCACATACAGTGTGAATGTAGCAAGGCACTCAATACCCTGAAAATTCGCTCGTCTCTCATGGGCCTGCCTCTGAAGCTGCTATGAAAGCCGGCAACCACACAGAATTTGCCTCCGGTAAGAATTATTTAAAAGCGTAAAGGTCAGACCCAGCATTGTACACACACATTTGGGTTTTCCATTTTTCTACTTATTCTACTGCCCAACAGGTAAGTACTTTTTTCAGAACTTATCTTTTTAAGGGAAATGGCTGAATGTGGATAAGAAAAGGAACTAGTCTTGGCTATTTCTTCTGAAAAACAGGAAGCATTAAGTAATGTTTAGCAACAGAAGCAGTAGCATCAGCATAGGCTAAAATCCTCATTCTCAAGTGCTTTCTTATTATTATTTAAAAATATATATATACAAATGCAAAACCCACAAATGAACCCTATGAGTTTTTAAAACAAACTTGTCTTCCATAATTTTTCCCCTTAAATCATAACACCAAAGGAAAAGAAGAAAAGTGGGAGAGAGACTTCTGCCAATAGCCTATTCCAACTAGTTAGTTTTGCCATCAATAATTTCTGATTAGGTTTTAGTCTAGCATCTTTTATTTTGTTCTTCAAAGATCAAAGCAAGAAAGGTTTTTCTACTGATGACTGACTCAATAAGAGGCCTGAATTATGGCTAGTGATTTAAGAGTTGAACTTTTAAATCATTAAGACAATAAAACATTTTTTTTTCCTGAGTGTCTGTCTTTGACAATCCTCTTTCTAGAACCATGGCGCTCCAAAGCTACTTCCCATGGCTCATGAAGCCTTGTGTGGCATGGAAAGTCAGTATATCCTATTAGGTTTAGCTTTGAGATTGATATATCCCAGAAATTCAGTACATATGGTAGCTTGAAATGTAGAGAGAAAAACAATAATCACAGTTTATTAAACCAGGCAGCCATCAGAGGCACGTAGTTCTATATGCAATCATTTTGTACATAATGTATAAAAGAAGTTCATTACCAAGTTTAGGAAAGAATGAAAAATCAATATGTTGACTCTGCTCTTCTTTTTCTTTCCTTTACAAATATAGCATTGGTTTCACTTAGTCTTCAATGTTGATTTACATGAAATTTTAGCACCATTTTTTATTTAATGTGATCCATCCTGTAAACCCACCACACCAAGACATTGGGCCTGAAAATATCTAAATTAATCATTAAATATCACTGGCACCTTCAGATGCTGTCTTAGGAAATTTCATCCTAGGAAGACTATTATTTAAGCTAGGTCTTAACCACTTCTTCTAGTATGCCCTTCTATACCAGGTACTTCTCATTGCCTGTTTATTTCTTTTCTTGCTACAAATTTTATACTTGGACATTATTAGTTATAGTAACTGTATTTACACTTTAACCAAGCTGATTTTTTATATTTAAGCAAAACAGTCTTCCCATATCCTCTCCTGAATTAATGCAGATTTGTAGCTCACCTTTGCAGCTCTTTGCAGAATGCATATGCATTCTGCTAAACCCAGAAACTTCAAAGTTTGACACTCACTTGGTGTTGGAGCAGCCCTCATGGAACAGTCCACATTTAATTTATAGTCACCATCCAAGATTACTTTTATTTTTCCTGGGTGGAAACACACTGCCAACATTACTCATACACTGAAAATGATACTCCATGTAAGTGACCTTCAAAATGCCCATATGTCTTCATTTAACAGACGTCTATCCACTCTTCCATGCCTTTTGACCAAATGCAGCGGAATATGGGGTTCCTTTCTTAAATGGTTTCTACGTATCCAGATCATAAGCAACCTGCCATGCAAAGAAACTGTACAATATTCACTTTAAACAGTTTCTCTCTTCCTTTATCCCCCTTCCCCCACCAATACACAAACAGGGGTAAGCATTTTCCTAGACTAAGTTTCCTATTTATCTCATTTCTACTCTTTTTTGCTTCTTCTCTTCTACCATGGTAATACCACCATAGAAACGAAGCAAACAAAACAAAACCAAAAAATAATAGCCATTACAAAACTAACAACTGTTACCTTTCGGGGAAAAAAATAATATTAATTGAGCATTCACCGAGTGCCAGGAACTTAACATACATGATCTTATTTTAATCCCATGAAAAATATACAGAAGTAGTGAAGAACATAAAGGCTTTGGAAGCAAACCGATTTGGGACTGATTTACAGTTCTTTGCAAAATAAGTGTCCTTGAGTGAATTATTTAACTTCTCTAACCTTTAATTTTCTCATCTCCCAAATGAGGGTAATATTTATCTCCTTTATAGGGTTGCTTTGAGGCTTTAAAACAATTTTACGTCTGGTACCTGTATGTGAATGATGCTCAATAAATAGTAGTTATTATTATTACTTATATACACATTTGACAGATGAAACTGGTTCAGAGAGATTGCATAACATGTGTAACAAGGTAAATAACATGTGTAACATTTACACATGTTACACATAACATGTGTAACAAGGTAAATAAGTTCTAAATAATCAAAGTGAGAGCCAAGCTTATTGGGAACAGCCTGTTTCTAAGGCCAAACCCCGCGGAGCTCTATACCACTGCCTCCCTCCTTCTGTAAGTAAAACAGAGTTGTAGATGTTTGAGCTATGCCCAATGTGGGGAGCACATGCCTTCCTGCTGGGGAGGCCCTGCCAGAAGTTTTGTAGCCTAAGGAACTGCTTGTTTAAGGGAAGAGAGAATTAGCAATAATTTTTTTGGAGAACAGTTTCAACAAAGCCTTCGCCATCAGAGGGGATGTCCCTAGGCACATGGTGGCTCTACAAGCCCGACCAAGCCTCCCATGGGCTTATAGATGAACCCTTGAGAGGGTGGGTGACATCATGCCTTGACATTGCTCTCACAAAACAGCCTAGAAGGCAGGGGGCTTCTCCTGTATGAAGCACATAACACAACATGGCTCTGATTATTAAGGCTTTATTGTGAAACAACTTTGGCAGCATGCAGGCTCATCAGAAGGGGCGGAAGGATGTCCTGCGGCTCTGCAGATGTGGTGCTGGCAAAAGAGGAGCACCCAGTGGAAGGAGCAACCTCATCTCTCCAAATATATGTGTGCTCCAAAACCCATCTCACCTTCATCAGAGATTAGGAGAAGGATGAAAGTATCCAGTGTGGTTACCTAAACTAACTTGTGAACACATCTGAGCCACAGAGGAGAAATGCATCACAGGAAGACAGAAGCAGCTAAGGCTGGAACCAAATAAATACAGGTTAAGACTGTCAATGGGACTCTAGTGGGCTCACTGTCTGGCAAGACCTGGAGAAGTTCACTCTTCACTTACAGTTCAGAGTACAAAATAAGTAATCAGTGTTTGTCAAGTAGCCTGAATATAACTGGTACAGAATCTACACGACGCTAAGAACTCAATCACTGAGAATTCAGCCACTGAGAAAAGGGAATACTGTATATTTGACAATTGGTTTTAATGTCCATAGGACGTTCTGAGGGCCCACCTGGTCTAGCTTCCGACCAATCTCAAACTTGACACCAACTACTTTGACTGCAGCCTTGAAGCGACGGTCTCTGTAACTAAGAGTGATTTCTAGAGCTGCTCACAGTACGGGAATAAGGTGTCTGAGCTGAAGAAATGATACCAAAAAGCCTAAAATTGCTGGTGGAGGCTTTCTTTGAAAACTCTCACTGCCGTACTGTGAGGTTTAATGTAAGATTTGTCCTACTCCCATTTCTCACTTTTATTGAACGATGCTCACCTGAAGAGATGCTAGATTTCTGAGTGTTCAGGAAGAATCTAGGTACATGTACCTTGTTAACACATGTTATTAAAGCCCATGGACATCATTTAGGGCTTTGCTTGGTTCCATTTTGCTCTATCATCTCTAGTCTTTCCGTTTTGTATGTCCATGACTGTGCCTGATCTTGTATTGGAAATACTTTCTTTCCTTTTGTCACTGGGTGTCTAATCTGTGTAAATTCTCAGTTCACCAGCCAGAGACATATCTCTACCACCACCACCCTGATTCACTCATTCATTCGTTCAGAAGACAGGGACCAAGCATCTACTATGTGCCAGGCACTGAGCTTGCCTAGGGTATGCATAGAGGACAAAGTACAGGTCCTTGCTCTGATGGAGCTTGTAATCACTTTATACTCTCTTTCTATCCACCAGCAGCAACTCTGGATTAAAAGGAGCCTATTAGTGTAATAGGAGAAAATGAAAGAACACCCAGCAGCCAGCCAGCCATGTCCCAAAGTGGAGGTCCAGGTCTTCTGTGGAGCACAGTGTGGGCCCATGGCAGGTCTGACTGCAGCCGAAGTACACTGCCAGCACTTCCCTCTTGGTGCATATGCCCAGGGCTGCTGTCTCTCTCCACTGCATGGTTCTTCAGAGGGAAAAAGCCACATGCAACCTATACTTGCCTCCTGATATGTGTTGTGGAGGAAGTTGCCTCTGTGGTGCAGGAACAGCAGGAGCTGACTCATGCCTTATAACACATTAAGACATAAATCTGTGTGTGTGAGAGACAGGGTTTCCCTCTGTCACCCAGGCTGAGTGCAGGGGTGTGCTCACGGCTCATTGCAACATCGACCTCCCAGACTCAGCAATCCTCCTGCCTCAACCTCCCAAGTAGCTGGGACTACAAGCACATACCATGCCTGGCTAATTTTTTAATTTTGTAGAGATGGGGCCTCACTATGTTGCCCTGTCTGGTCTCAAACTCCTGAGCTCAAGTGATCCTCCAACCTCAACCTCCCAAAGTGTTGGGATTACATGCACAAGTCACTGCACCTGGCCAATTTTTCTTTTTAAACCCTAGTGTCTGAGTCACTTGTTTTTTCTCTTCCCTCAATGATCCTATTTTCCCCTAGAAGCACACCTCACCACTTAATCCTGAGAGCCCCTGAAGGGTGCTGGCCTGGATTTCTGTACACCCTTTTTGCAACTAGATGAAAACGTCCAGGTCTTCTAAGATGAAAAGCAGCTACTTCCTGAGTTGCTCAGGCCACGGAGTAGACAGACATCTAGGATATCCTGGTTTAGTCTAGCAAACTCCGCAAAGGAAGCCTGGATTCTAGTCCTATTTTGCCCTCAAATTAAGTCTGTAGCTTTGGGCAAGTCACTTTCTCTGTCAAAAACTCTCTATGTTGGTCTCTGTCAAAAGGAGGCAATAATGAACAGCAGTTGACATATAAACACTGTAAATGCTGGCTATTGTTAATTATTATTAGTAATACATACCCTGGTTAAAGAATTGTTGTGAGCCCCAAATGAGATAATACATATGAAAGTTCTCTGAGTGAAATACACCATCCAAATGTAAATTTATTATTGTTGTTTGCCAAATGGCTCTCTCAGAATGTGCAGGCAAAAATATAAATTATGCCAACGGTTGCTATGAAGCATAATTGAATGCAGACAAATACTTCTTTAGCACCTCCACATTCTTCCATACAACCACCACCAACACATCAGATAAAGGCACCCGGCAGGCTTTGAAGGCTGAATTGGACAGAGCTGGCAGAAAGGGACGAGTGAGATCCCACATGACCAGTTCTGCATAAACTGGCTTTGGAAATGGTATTTACTGATTTGGTCATCAATGGCGAGGTAGGAAGCAAAGTGATCGGTTTTGCTTTCTCCTTTTTCAAATAAACAGGGCAGTTGTTAAACCAGAAGTGAATCTGATCCGGGCTTTAAGAGCAGTCAGCTGCATTCTGAAACAGGCAAAAATGTAAACAGAGCCCTGTAACTCTAGACTAGGGCAGAACAGCCATAGGTTTCATAATGGGAGAGTCTATGGGCCCTGTGCCAAGAAAAATGAAATGTTACCCTGGGCCTTTAAACAGAATCATGTAAGAGCAGAGTGCATATTTGTTTAACACACACACACACACACAAGACCTTTTTCTGTGCCAACACCTTTCTGAACCCTCCTGAATAAAAGCTGAAATCCCTGAAAACGTCGTACAGAACCAATATTGTTTGCATAGTCTCATTCTTTAGTGCCAAAGGATTTTTCTGCTGAACAAGGAGCTGTTTCTTTCTTTTCTTTTTTCTTCTTCTTCTTCTCCTTTTTTTTTTTTTTGCCTAAGTTAATTACAAAGTATGACTGAGAAAATAAAATAAATGAGCCCATTCCACCCATCCCTGTATCTGAATTCTATCATATGAGTTGCCAGTTGGTTTTCTAATCCTCTCACTCAATATCTGCTGTTAATTTGTTCACTATTTCAAGAACTTGAAGACTGTCAGCAAAATACATGATGCATTACAAAACTTATAATTGGAAATAAAAACATCTGACGCTTTCCTGACAGAGTAAACATAAAGTACTATTGCACTGATCAGAACAAGGGAAATGTGAGCAACCTTGTAGCTATTTGTGTGCAAACACAATTAGAAATGCTGCAGAGAGTGAAATCAACTCCCACTTTGAAAAATGCTGAGAAAATTACATCTAAATGAATGAATGAATTCAACATGGTTATGATAGGAAATGAGGGGAAGAGAGGAAGGGAAAACAAATCCTGCTCACACTTCCTTTGAAAATGCAACTCAACAGACTTTCTCTTCCTATTTCAGCCATTTTAGAATTGCACTGCCTAGGCCTGATCTAATTTTCCTGCTGGAGAAGTTAAGGCACTTCCTCCACAGTTACTAAATCTGACAAATTACACCTGGGTCCACTCTAACGTGAAAAAATGTGTTCTTTGTTCCTGACCCTTTGGTCAGCCTAGAGATCAAATTCCTGGACATTGGAAAGCCCCACTCATATTCATTAAAAGCCACGGGAGACCAGCTCTGTATTTCTGTTCAAGAGAAGAACAAGGTGCAGGCTTTCGCTGAACAATACAACTGCTCTGCTCCAGTCGGTGCAATATAGACCTTTCACTTTCTGCAGCTTGGCTGCTGATCAATTAGTATGTGGATTTTTTTTTTTTCTGCACAGTATCTTAGTATCAAAACAGCAAAAGAAGAGCCTAGTCCCACGAGTAAGTTTACCCCAAATTGCTTGTGTTAAAAAGCTGGCTACAGATTCAGTAATCAAAAATACAAAGATGATTTCAAAACTCTACCTTACCTCTACCCAGCCAGACATGCCATTAGTTACCACAGGGGCTAGTATTTGACAGATTAGAATTTTGTTCCCTTTCTAACCATACTCAGCCTTTGAGAAAGATGTTACAGAGCTGAGAGTGAGTCACAAAGACAAAATTGGGCACCACTGGTGGCAGAGAATCAATTTTAGGTATGCAAGCAATCCACAAGCTCTCCCATGGTACGAAGTATGTATGAGGCTGACCCACCTGCCTGACAACAAAAAACCTTCTTCTTCTGCACTCCCAAAAAAGAATGAGAAAAAAACAACAATAGGAGAAGTGAAGCAAATCTGTGGCTGAACTGTTAAAAAGATGCCTGATGCCTTTCTTCCAGATTCTTGGAAGAATGAGATGGTGAAGGAATACATACAGATGCCATAAAACCTGCCTTAAGGCCTCCTGAGGTAAGGGTGCCCCTAAAGAATTCATCAACTATTGCCTTCCCATTTGAGGGAGCCCCTTTCCTTCCAGACCTGGCATCCCACTTATAACATCTTCAGTTTAGGCCACTGGATTTTCCCAGACCTATCAAACCACATTCAAAGCCTCTTCCTTGGGGATCTAGTAAGTACTACAGAACATTACGGTTGCAAACATATATAAATGCTCTGGTGTGTTGTAAGTTATTTTCTACATACCAATTCCTGTTAAACTGTAAATTAGAAAACACTACTTTAATTCTCCCTAGTCTTGAGGTAGCTTTCAGCTGTGTTGCAAGTTATCAACATGTAACAAATACAGACTAATATTCTTTTTCTGTAGCTAGACCAAGCCACAATCCATATCTTCTAAATACATGAATTATAGCTATTTTCCTAGTCTGATGGCGATTACTTTTGAGAAACCTGTGAATCCTTAATATCAGGGTTCTTATTTTGATTTCTATTTTTAAAACCACTAGCGGTATCAGCAATGCAGAACTTAATACTTCCTCCAAAAAAGTCACTGTGAAAACAGGGAAATCAAACAATCAATTTACATTATTTTGGGTTGAAATATCTGTTGGGTTACTAAGCAGGGACTCACCTATGTGTAAATCTCAGAGATGGAAAAAATCTAATTTCCGAGGGGAGAAAAGTGGTACCTATGGTATAAGTTCTCCCAAACGTTGCTTCTTAATAATAAAAGAGGTTAAAAATTGTACAAGACATTAAAGGAATTCAAGCATGCTCACAAATATGTATTGTTTTTGAAAATTCTAACTTTGATGACCATTTAAGTGGGTGGCATATGAGAGAAACAAGGGCAGACCTCATTCCTCATGTTTTACAACTAAATGAAGAAGTTAAGGGACTTGCCTAGTGTCACCCAATGGGCAGAAGGTGAACTAGGGCTAAAACTTATCTAATCTCACTCCTAGTCCCATAGTCTCCTTATGAAGGTTGACAGAGGTATAAAGTAGTTTGGAAACATTAACACATCACTATTAGTAGTAATAGCTAACATTTATCAAATGCTTACTCCATGCTAAAAAGTCTTCTATGCACTGTGGATGCATTAATTCTATCTTCATAACAACCATGAAACCGTAATGTTTTCTCCCATTTTAGAGATGAAACAGAGGCAGGCAGATGTTAAGAAACTCACCCAAGGTCCCACTGAGCAAGTGGTAAAGATGGCAAATACTCTCCTCCCTAGCACAGAAATGCTAATGCAGACATTTCTAAATCGATGTTCAGATTATCAGTAGCTCTGGGAATATTAATTTTGATGAAATATCTTCACAGTGAGATCCAAACTACTGATGCCTCCCAAAAACAGATGATGAAACTGAAATATCATTTTTGTCAACCTCTGTATTCTTGGTCAAAATACAAAGTATCAACAATTCCAATGGATGGGGCAAAAATCATTTAAAGATCTCCCTCATTGTAAAGAGATGCTCAATAGGAAATGGTTGAAGCTTTGTGGAAATCTCAACAGACTTAAGTCTAAGGACACCTTTAGGAGAACATTTCAGAAGACTGATTAGTGCTTATTTTCTTGACTTTGCTACCTTGCCAGTATTAAAATTAAAACATTTTAAATGATATCAATCCAGTTCAGATATAAACTTTGTCTGCAGTTTGCAGCACCACCAAAAACAGATCATGCCCTGCCACATCACATATCTGAATTAGTCTGTTTGTTCGATTGCTTGAGATGCTGCAAGATCTGCCTGAGGACCAAAATCATTCCCTCATTCATCACAGCTACAATCTAGTTTAGCTGAACCCTGTCCTAAACAGATTTGAATCAGCTCAGATAATGGAGGAAGTTTGTTGCTGTCATCATTTCAGCAACTATCAGTCCAGGGATTTCTGAACATCTGCTTGCTCAGGAATAGCCTTAAATGTCCTGTGCCTTTTAAGGATTTTTTCAAAAGTAATCTTAAATTATTTTTAAACAATGATCTTAACTTGCATGTAGAGCACCTCTGCCAATCAGAGGTCATTCCTCAACTACTGTACTGACATTAAGAACTGGGCTGTGAAGCTGGAAATGCTCTGTCTCCTGCCCTTTACCCAGAAATGCTAATATCAACATCCTACATGACCCCAGATTACAGTTTGACAGGACTGATTTCTGCTGTTTATTCTCTTGCCCTTTACCACGTTCTCACACATTAAAAAAATAAATTGACGTACCTTACTAAATAAAGCTAGGTATAAACTGGATCTGAGGATTATAACCACCAATTACCACATCCCAACCCCTGCCACCCCTCAGTCATGCTGTACACCCTGGAATCAGACTTGTCAGGTTCAAATCAGACCTCTTATTATCTGTGGCGATTCTTGAGCAATTACTTAACTTTTCTGCACCTGGATTTTCTTATCTGCCAAATGAGAATCATAATAGTGCCCATCTCCTAAAGGTATTTTGAGGATTAAATAAGATGACACGTATACAAAAAATGTAGGACAATGCCTGGCATATAGGAAGTACTTAATTAAGAGTTCAAAATCATTGTCGGGGTTGATTTTAAACAGATATGTACTTCCTGTACCCACTCACCAGTCCTTCTGGATACCAACTCGTAAAGCTAGAAAAAAAATTATAGAAAATATCTCGCACTTTGGGAGGCCGAGGCGGGCGGATCACGAGGTCAGGAGATCGAGACCACGGTGAAACCCCGTCTCTACTAAAAATACAAAAAATTAGCCGGGCGCAGTGGCGGGCGCCTGTAGTCCCAGCTACTCGGGAGGCTGAGGCAGGAGAATGGCGTGAACCCGGAAGGCGGAGCTTGCAGTGAGCGGAGATCGCGCCACAGCACTCCCGCCTGGGCGACAGAACGAGACTCCGTCTCAAAAAAAAAAAAAAAAAGAAAATATCTCAACCTTTTAACTTACAGAGGACAAGCCAAACTGTTGAGTAAAGTGACCAATCTGAATTCAGTCTGCTTGTCTTTTTCCAGTCCTATCCACAACTCCTAGTGAAGGACTGGGGTACTTTTCTGTATTAAGTGAGTAAAGGTGAGTTCTTCTGCTCTACATACACACACACAGGTTAGTTTTGCTCTATATACACCCTCAAAAAAAAAAAAAGTCCTAGAACCTGCTGATATTGACAATCATTTAGTCTAACATTCTCATTTTAAAGATAAAAAAAAAAACTGGCTCTAGGGCCTAAATGACTTGCCTAAGTTCACATAAATACTTAGTGGGAGAGCCCAAGGCCAGAAAAATTATAATTCATACCCTAAGCAAACTATCCGATATTCTCTTCAGTCCACTGCAAACTTTACCTATTTTATCCTTATCATAACCCTCTAAAATAGGTATCATCTTCACCATCTTAGAGATGTGAAAACTGAGGCTCAGACACTGTGAAGTAACTCCTTTAAAACCTGACAACTGTCAACTGATACAATCAAGATTGACACGCTTCTTGTCTGGCCTCCAAGGATACATGTACCTGTTTCAAGTTTTCCAGAGCTTAGTTCTGAGAATTCTAGTGCCAGCTCTCAACCAGTAACTTTCAAACCACCTGTGCATCAGTCTTGCCCAGGTAACTTTAAAAAATACAAACTGCTGGGCTTCATCTCAGGAAGGACAATCAGAGTCTCTGGAGGAAGGGCTTCAAAATCTATATTTCTACAGAGACGGTAATTCTGATGTGTAGGGAGGTTTGAGAAACCCTAATCTAAGCAAGATATTTTATGACTGCTTCCAGTACAAAATGAGAGGGAAATGAGTTACCTAAGGCTGATGGAATGTTCAGAGCAGCTGAATCTATGTGAAGGGTAGCATGGTGACCTCCTCTCAAATCCTTCTGTGTCACACAGACATACACCCAGCCCCAGTAACATAAACATATACAGCCAGCCCTCCATAATCAGAGGTTCCGCATCCAGGGATTTAACCAACCAAGGATAGAAAATATTAGAAAAAGGGCCAGGAGCGGTGGCTTATACCTGTAATCCCAGCACTTTGGGAGGCCAAGGCGGGCCAATCACCTGAGGTCAGGAGTTCAAGACCAGCCTGGCCAACATGGTGAAACCCCGTCTCTACTAAAAATATGAAAATTAGCCGGGTACAGTGGCATGTGCCTGTAATCCCAGGTACTTTGGAGGCTGAGGCAGGAGAATTGCTCGAACCCAGGAGGCGGAGGTTGCAGTGAGCTGAGATCACACCACTGCATTCCAGCCTGGGCAACAGAGAGATACTCCACCTCAAAAAAAAAAAAAAAAAAAAAAAGAAAGAAAGAAAGAAAGAAAAGAGAAGAAAAGAAAAGAAAATATTGGAAAAAGGATTGCCTCTATGTTGGATATTTTTTGTCATTAATCCTTAAACCATAAAACATAACAATGATTTATATCATATTTACATTGTATTATGTATTATAAGTAATCTAGAGATGATTTAAAGTCTTCACGAGGATGTGCATAGGTTATATGCAAATACTACACCATTTTATATAAAAGACTTGAGCATGATGGAATTTTATCAGTGGGAGGTCCTGGACCAATACCCCATGGACACTGAGGGAGGCATGACTGTATATATCTAGGAAAGCTTTAACTCCTATTGATCTTGCCTAAAGGGATCTCTATCACAATGAAAACAACAAGTGTTGCATTTTGCAGCAGTACAGTATGTATTTTGTTGGAAATACAGCAATAAGGTTTCCTTTCATCCTAATCATTTTCATTTAAAGCATCTAAATCTGAGCTGTGTTTTCTTGGTACTGAGCTAAAAAGCAATGTGGAAAACTGTTTGAATCATCACTTACCAAGGTGCACCGTATATCCTGAATCCCTTCACTGTTACCTCCGAATCTTGTAAGTAAATACTGTTTGTCAGGAGGGACTGAACATTGTCAAAGTCCTCTGGTTTCAATTTGGACACAGAGGGGAAACGGTAGTAGTCCTGTTTAACAAGGTCTGCCATGAATTCCTTATCAAATGTCAGTTCATGATTCCCAGCAATCACTATTTTATATTCATATGGCAGGTTTCCTGAAATAAGAAAAAAGAGCACCAATTAGCACGTTCATTTCCCATCACAAAGTACAACAGCCGAGACTGTGTGATTAGCAGACAGCTCACCCAAATGAAATAGCTCGCAAATTCCTTTACATTTCCATGTGAACTGGAATTTATGACTACTACTTTATGCTAACAAAAATGACAATAACGGGAAATAGGAAGCTGCTAAGTAGCTAAAACGTTGCTAAAAAGACATTAAGTTTTCTAGTTCCATTTCCCTCTTCTGTATGCTATGTATTCATTGTGATGAATCCACAGGGTAATGAATCCACACTTTATATTTATCCAGTAAAAAGCTCTTTAATCACGATCCTTAAGAGAAGGTCTGTACCTAGTTTGGTCCTCAAAACATAATCTAACCAACTATTCTTAACAACTTAGATAACTACTAGATTTTTAGTATATGCTTCATACTAAAGACATGGCATAGTCAAACATTCCATAATTGACATACATTAAAGGAACCAGATAGTATAATTTCATATTTCAACTCTAATTTTAAGTTTCCTTTTTGGGTTGTGAATAAAAAGAACATTAGTAAGGGCCCCCTGATTAGAAGGCTAACTTTCCTCCTATTGGGATGGGAGAAGAAACTGTAAAGTTTAACCCTCTTTTAATATTTATGGTATGGAAATGTGAGTTCTCAGTGTGTGCTTTTTATGCAAAAGTTTCCTGATCAAAATGAGATAATTCTGGGAAGAAGAATGAAAGCTATAAAGGAAAACCCAAACACCAGACTTCTGCATAGATTTATAATGTTTGAATAAAGTACGGGTCATACATATTAATAACTCACCGTGATGCTATAAGAACGAAAATCCAAAGGGAGATAGTGCCGGGCAGCTGTCCCCACCTGAAATTAATGTTCTTTTCCTTACTCTGTCACTACCCATCCCTCAAGCCTCACTGTTCATCTGCTGCTTTTTATTTTATTTTATTTTGGAGGAAAAAAAGAGTGGGACAATGGCACCTATAATTCCAGCTTTCTGAGACCTATGGGTCTGATGTGAAATTAATGTTTCCTGCTATTCCAGGAAGAATTAAAGTTACCACTAGCAGGAAATTGGATACACTTGTTGTAAGAACTGGTCCTTACCAGCAAGCCAGAGTCTCAATGATTTCATTAAGGAAACTTAGTGGGGAAGAGAATTTTGTGGGCGGGGGGTGGGGGGAGGTGAGGGGAGCAAGTTCCATCGTCAGTCCACTTGGATTTCAGCAATTCAAACTGTAAAGATTACATTGTGAAGTCCACACAGTCTCAGCAGCACATCACAAACATATTTGCTAATATTGAAGCAGTTTTTAAGACTGCCAAACCATGTTTTGTATATTACTGCCTTTTCTTTAGTTATTAATTGTTAGATTTCTGACAATAATAAAATTGCATATATAGCAAGGGCAATAATGGGGAGGCTTAAGAGAGAGATGAAAGCAGTCTGATAGAAAATAACACTGCAGAGAGAGGAAACCAGAAACGCTGAGGCCAAGCAGCAATGGATATCTTTGACTACTAGCCCACAGTGCTGTATGTCACGTCTTTGGCCTCAGTTATTTGTAAGGCTATGCTGAAGAGTTCAAAAAAGAATAGGAAGCCTCCCTCAAATGCATGTTTATGCGAATTTGGTAATTAAGAGTATGATGTACATAGCAAGTTGTTTGGATAGAATGGTGGTATCTTGCACAATTCCAGAACTTCAAGTGCAGATGAAAGATATATCAATAGGGCCACAAATTCCCAGTACTGCACATGCTGGAAATTTGTGAGAGACCCTACAACTCTAATATCATGGCTCTGTGACCCTATGAGTCTAATAGTGCTCCCCGCCCCAATTCACCTGTGCTCCCAAAGCCGGAACAGGCTAAAACGTTTTCCCAGACAGCAATGTCTTCCAAGGCCGGTCCTTACTGTGTGATTCTTAGAGCAGAAGATTTTACCTGTACAAGTCACACTGTAGTTGCCCAGTTCCCCTTTAATCATTCACGATGATGGGACTCACTGTAAACCCTTTCATTATGTGCCACCGCTCTTGCAGGAAGCCTGGGTTTCTCAATTTATCCTCGTTTTAGGGCTCGGGTTCAGGGACAGCGTGGGTGAGACTAGCCACTATGGCAAAGGAAGTATATTTTCCCCCTTCAGACTGGGTTTTTCCTTTCTTTCTTTCTTTCTTTCTTTTTAGTAAAACTGCTGCAAAGTAAATCTTTCTCAGAAAGACAAGCATCTTTGGTGTCTTTTAAATCAAATTTTGGAGACTCAGCATAAAAAGGTAGCCACCAAAATGAAGAGCCACAAAAAAGGTGATGATATTTACACATCACCAACAAACTCATCTTTTTCCGAGAATCCAGTAGTAGCTTCCAACTTCTATCCTCTGTTACCGATGTTATGAGATTGTCTGACATATTTTCTTTTTTGCTGAACTGACCTTTCATCTATAATCTGCCAACCTTTATGTTTTATATGAAAAGTGTAAACAGGGCAGCTGACAAATCTCCTGTTACTTGACGGCATTTTCGTTGTTTTTTTTTTTCCAGACTAGATTAATTGGGAAGGCCCTGCAGTCAAGCTTCAAACTTCTTGGTATTCAAATAGCAACACTTTAAAATTGTCAGGCAAAGAGGTGCCTGCCTTTTTCCATTTTATTCAGATCATGCCAGCTAAGCTGACCTGCTTGTATAAAAAAAACCAAGGCCATATATATACTCTAACATGGAAAAAAAATCCTTGCTCTGAATGACCCAAAGAACTCTACCAGCCGGGCACGGTGGCTCACACCCGGAATCCCAGCACTTTGGGAGGTCAAGACAGGCAGATCACCTGAGGTCAGGAGTTTGAGACCAGCCTGGCCAATGTGATAAAACCCTATCTCTACTAAAAATACAAAAATTAGCCGGGTGTGGTAGCAGGAGAATTGCTTGAACCCCGGAGGTGCAGGTTGCTGTGAGCCGAGATTGAACCACTGTACTCCAGCCTGGGTGACAAGAGCAAAACTTGTCTCAAAAAAAAAAAAAAAAAGAACGCTACCAACCAACCAGTTTCATCGTTCCCAAGGCATGGTCTATGTTCTACTAATGGTACACAAGATTATTTTAGGTGAAATGGAAAGGAACCTTTGACAAAATGTCAAATAGTTTTGTATTTTAAAACTACTTTTAAGAATGCATTGTTTGGACAAATACAATATAAAAGTATAAGTAATGATATATAGCTTCCTTTTTTCTATCTTTATATGTAAAATAAGAGGTAATTTCAAGAAAATTACTGAGCAAATAGTAGAGGTAACTTACAGGGACAATAAAGTGACAATGGTAGGAAGTGAATTAATGAGATGTGGAAAACTTGCTCATCAGTTCAGGTTAGAGCTACAGAATGTAAGTGAGACCATAAAAGAGGCAGTTATTTGAGTTTTATCTATTCTGTATCTTCTGCACTTAGTGGTGTCACATAAGTAGATACTCATGAACTGAAAGTCAACAGGGTCCTCGCTGCTACTTGACGTTCTAAGTGCCCCACACTCCAGCCACTACCTCCCCAAAGCAGCCATCACAAAATTTGTCCAGGTTCCTCTCTAGCTCCCAGGCTCCAACTGAGCCCCTCTCCAGACATGCAAAATACCCTCTAACCACATGTGTACAGAAGGAGGGAGGTTCTCTTCACTTCTGCCTTTTCACTTTCCCATCACACCATCTGTTTGCATCTTCTTATCTTTCTAACAGAGGTTGAGCATCCTTTATCTGAAATGCTTGTGACCAGAATCATTTAGGATTTTGGATTTTTTCAGATTTTGGAATATTTGTGTTACACTGATTGAACATTCCAAATCCCAAAATCCAAAATCTGAAATGCTCCAATGAACATTTTCACTGAGTGTCATGTCAGTGCTCAAAATGTTTCAGATTTTGGAACACTTTGGATTTTGGATTCTCATAGTAGGGATGTTCAATTTGCAAATTGGCCTCTTAATCTGATTCCTCCCACTCCCATAAGCACCTTCCTTTTCCAGGCATCTCCTCTCTTTGATATTTTGGGCCTCTCTCTATACATTGAATCCTCCTCCTTGGTGAGTTTATATTTACCCACTCCAAGAAAACAAAAACAAACAACCCTTGACACATACACACACACATACGTGCCTCAAACATGATCGTAAACATTCCTTGACTTTTTTGCTTCTTTGAGATGCTTCCTCATTTCACTTCTAAACTTCTTAAAAGAGGATTCCATAAGCTTGCTGCTGGTGGGACCAATTCAGCCCTCAGATGTGTCATGCTTAGCCCTCAACTGAGGTTATTATTTGTTTGTTTGTTTTTTGTTTTGTTTTGTTTTTGTAATGAACTAACATCTAGAACTCAGGAAATATCACCCAAAAGTTTCTGCACTTCCAGCTTCTTGTGGGAAATCAAAAGATCAGGCAAAACTGACCTCCAGTCTGCCAAGAGATCTCCCCTCTCTGATTTCTTCTCATACAGCCCACTTACCACATTTGTTCTGCCTGATGGGCCACTATATTAATAGATTTAACAATGTACAGCCAAATGGTTACTCAAAAATTACTCAATGCAATCTGGCTTCTGCTTCTACTCTCCTTCCAAAAGCGTCCCTGGAATGTGACTAATAACCTCCTAATGGCCAAAGCCATGGCTTTATTTGAATTCTGACCTCTGTTGATCACACTACAGTGGTGTGATCCATTCCCTTGATTACTGCTGTGGCACTCTCCAAGTTCTCCTCCTCCCTCTCTGATATTTCCTCTCCTCTCTCTTCTTCCTCAGCTTCCTTTGCATCCTATCTCATCTGCATGCTTATTCCATGACACTCTCCTTATTCATCTTTACTTCTATGGGCAGTATGTAATAGTTTCTTACTGTGCTTCTCACATTTCTATTCCTAATGATTCGATTTTAAAACTATTACAATTTAAACTGTGGACGCAGCATGGGGATAAGAATGGGGACTCTGTAGTCTCTGCTACATGTTAGCTGTATGACCTTGGAGATTCCTTATGTTCTCTAAAGTGTGCTAGCAAAATGGGGATAATAACACCTACCTCATGAGTTTTGGCAAAGATAAAATGAAATTTAGCCTCTAAAGCACATGCATGGTGCAGAGTAAACCATCAGTGCACGTTCACTATTATTACTCCATTTTTGAGTTTTGCTTTTGCATGTGACTTGTATCCCCATAGACTTGAAGACATGGATCATGGCTTGTTGTTCCTTATTGACCCAAAGTACCTAGTCCCGTATCTTCAAAATGGCAGACACACAACTCAGATTTGTTGAGTAAGTGAAGGAACGAATGAACCTCCACAAGACTTCCTGGTAACTTCCATAGAATTCCAGGAACTCGGGTTGTCATCTTGGGCTATGGTAAGGTTTAAGCCAATGTCACATTTTCTTCCAACTTTAAGCCCGCATGAAGTGTCCTGTTCCTTCTCCCCAACATCCAGTCTAGCCGACTAATCTCCAACTCTTTTTAAACTACAGTTTTCTCAGATATAAATAGGGTAAAAATAAAATACTGCTTCTAAAGTATGGTGAGGATTAAACAACATCCTGCATATAAACAACCTGCACAGTTTCTGACACTCTATATTCACTCAACAGACATTAGCTGTGTTGTTATGTTATTGTCATGACCATCTTTCCCAATCGCCATCAATAAATCATTGGTTTATCCACAAATTGGACCACTCCCTGATGCCAGGCACAATGTCACTACTCTCAAAGCAAAGCATCTGAAGACGAAAAAGAACATTTTGATTTTTCTCATGGCAGAAACTGGCATGTTCCAACATGTCTTTCAAACTAACAAAAGTATTATTAGGGCCAATAAGCATTTGGATCTAAAAGTGAAGGTCAGTGCGGCTATGAGGTCTCCAACCTGCACACAATGCAAACACAGCACCTCTGTTGAGATAATCCTAACCTCGCACAATGTATTCCCTTAACACACAACTTTTTGCCTCCTTCTCTCATCCAGATATCTCTGTCTTCCAGTATTTATCAAATACCAAAAAATGTGCCGAGTGGCCTCTCATTCATGAATGATTAGTATAACCTGTAATAGATAGCATCCAGACTGTTTCTCTCAAGAGTGACTACTCATGCAGAATATCCAGAATTTCTTCTTAGAATCAGGTGGGGTTATTCTTCTATGAGCATGCAGCAAGGAATAGATGAAAAGTTTAAGATCTCCAGCTATGCACATGTCTGATGAACTCTATAACAATGTTAAAACAAACACATAGCAACTTATGTCAAAGTCAGCATAACTCCCTTATAAAACTCTGGACATTTAACATGCCACTTATAATGGCTCTGATGAATCACAACACATGAACCCCTAAGGGTCCTCCAAGACAATCTAGTGGTTTGAAGCTGTGCTCCGTGAAGCCTCCCCAGGGATGGAGAAGGGCAGAGGGGAACGACCTTCTCTGAGGTTCACCAGAGCAGCTATGCTTTCCTTGATTTTACCATCTGGGGAAAGATTTCATCATTCTAAGAAAGTTAACCCTGGCTTAAAAAAATTAAGAGGAAACCACTGATTCATGCAATTCCATTTTATGGATGAAGAAACTGAGTGCCAGAGAGGTGCTGCCACTTACTAAGTGCAGTCACAGGCCACAAGTGGGGCCAGAATCTAGCTCTTTGGCTCCCAGACCAGTAGTTTTCAGATGACCCCACATATGTGACAACTTGATAAAGTTTGACTTAAGGCCTACTCATACATGAATCCTCCTCATGCCATTATCCATCTATAGTAACCTTTTATCTAATATTAAGCATTTATGGCCCTTTTAGTTTGTACCCACGAAACAGAACTCTCCATTCTAGATGCTTCTCTGGCTATATCACAGACTTCTCCTGTATGGGAAATAAAGCAGTGTCAGCCTCATGCTGTAACAATTAAAACACATCCTGGCTTAATTAAAACATTCCCCGAATGCTACTGCAGCTGTTGGTACAATTTCTTATCTACAGGCTCCCAGGAGAATGTGGGAGCCTACCCAGTGAAGAGAAGGCCAACTTTATGTGAGGTCCCAGAATCTAAAAACTTGTTGCTACAATTATGAGGATGAGATTTTGATAGGAAAATGGAGGTCTGAGGTAATAAATTCAAACACCTACATGGACTAGGGAGGTAAAGAAACAATGTGAATTGAGCTGAACTAGGTGGAAGATAATAGAGAACAATGAGGGGACTGGGGGCACATGTGCATCAGCATTTTAAAATAAACATATATAAGCACTGCTCTGGCCAAACGTGATCTCCTCTCTAGCTTGCCCCTCTCCCTCAATACAAGTTAATGTTCCTCAAAAATAAGTATCAAACAACTGCAATCAGGTTTTCTGCTATAAATCATTATAGAATGAATTCCTCTAGAAAATTCAAGTTTAGGTCAAACCAAAATCCAAGGTCAATTCCAGAACATTTACTTTTCCCAGGAATCTGCCTGTGATATGGTTTGGCTGTGTCCCCATCCAAATCTCATCTTGAATTGTAGCTCCTGTTATCCCCACGTGTTGTGGGAAGGATCTGGTGGGAGGTAATTGAATCATGAGGGTGGTTATCCTCATGCTGGTCTCATGATAGTAAGTTCTCACGAGATTTGATGGTTTTATAAGGGGCTTTACCTCCTTTTGCTCAGCACTTCTGCTTGCTGCCGCCATGTGAAGAAAGACGTGTAGGCTTCCCCTTCCGCCATGATTATAAGTTTCCTAAGGCCTACCCAGCCTTGCTGAACTATGAGTCAATTAAACCTCTCTCCTTTATAAATTACCCAGTCTCAGGTATATCTTTAGTAACAGCATGAGAACAGACTAATACAGCCTGCCAACTTTCAGAAGACAACTCTTGCCTCATACTCTTCATTCCCCATGAACAGGGAATATGGAAAACAGGGTCGATCACAATCATCAGGTCGTGGTTAACACCAAATATCCTTTCTCCACACCCTTTTTTTTAAAATCAGAGATCTGGTCAGCAAGGCTAATTGATTACTATCTCCTATTTACTCCTGCTAAAACCAAGAGAAAAACCCCAGCATTCAGCAGTAGTTCTTTGTGAAAGAGAGCCTCCAAAAGCAAACATGGCTTGTCATTTTCCTGTATAAAAGAAAACCTAGTTCCATAAAGCTGACATATTTTAAGACTGCCAATCCCTATGCCCTCTCCCCTCTATTCTCCCATATTATAGATTTTTAAAATATATAAGGAAACCAAAAATGTCTGGGGCATAGCACTCACAGTCAGTAAAGCTCATTCTATAGCAGGAGGAAAAACAACAGAGATGACAGGACAGAAGAAGAACTTGCTATGGCTCCCAGGTGCCCAGGAAAATCAAATTCACAGGGCACAGCCTTCAGGCTCACTTTCCCTTGGTAATGTGCTAGAAAAAAAAGCTAACTTGTTGGGATTTAAAAGAATCAAACAAATATATAGTCAGACCTGTTATCACAGGACTGTTTCTAAATAAGAGATATACAACAATTTGATCACATTTCTGAAACCTGCCTGCAATGGGGCAGTGCCAGATGCCTGTTTTAAAACCCTGTTCCCTAATGCCAGTGATATAAAGTTACTTTGTTTCACCCAAGGCACACAGAAGGAGGAAATTTTTCCTATTTAAAATTATTATTATATGTTTAATATTGTAACTCCAGCAGGAACAGGGAAAATGTTAAAACTTTTGAAGCCTCTCTATTTCACTGAGGAATGAATAAGAATAACCTGGGCTTGAAAACTGGCCAAGCAGAAAATTCTGCAGGAAGATGAAAGGAAAAAAGTAATACCAACTGCTAGGAGCATGGAAGAACTATGAGGCTCAGGATGGGCTAAGGAGACATTTCATCTAAATTCCTTCCTTGGCAATTACTGGGGGCTGATAGCAGAGAAGGCCTGAGTCCAGCCTGGAGGTGGGGAGGGGGTTCTATAAGCTATGAGGAGGCAGAGCCAACTTTTTGCTGCTGTACCCCTGGCACCTAGAAGAATGCTTAGCACTTAGTTGGTACCCACTGCATACTCCAGAAATCCCCCTTGGCTCCACAGTTTGCACTCACTTGACTCAGCTACAAAACCACCAGAAACATTCAGTCAGGGCAAGCTCTGTCTCTGACCTCAGTCTGTCCCCCGTCAGGCTCCATTAATTTTCACAAGTCCTGACAGCTCTAACGTTAATACTCACACTTGCTGATGGAGCCACACAGCAGGTTCAGACTGCTACCTTCTCCTCTGAAACTCATGCATTAGGGTTTCTTCCATGCTTGCAATGGGAAACCAGGTCTAAGAAATATTAAACACAGAAAACTATATTACAATAATGTCAGGGCTGAGCCAGAAACCCAGGAGAAGGCAGGGGATGCGGAGTGAAAGCCCGGTGGTCCACTGCAGGAATGAGCACCAGTGTAAGACACCACAGCGGAAATGCTCCCTCCTCCGCTTCAGCCTCCTCCATAAAGAGAATCCCAAGGCACCAGGAGATGTGATAAACCTTAGTCCACACAAAGAAGACAAAAGTCCACTCCCCATCCCTTACAGTAGTCACTACTGCATTGCACTGATGGCAGGTAACAACTGACAAGTGCAAATGATGGGGAAGCAGGCCATTAATATCCACAATTTTTAGACCACGAAAACTGCCCAGAGATTTTATTGCTGCTCAGCAACTCCTTATTTGTAAGCATTCTTGCCTCAACCATGGCCTTATTCCAACACAACTTTTTGTGACCTAAACACACACACGTACACACTCGCACATACTCATTCACGCTTATATATATTTTTAAGACAACCACAAGGTAGTAGAAATGAATGACACTATCCTCCTTGCTTCCCAACCGAGTATCTCTAAGTTGCCACCCAAATCAACATGGCATGTTCTAAATGGGAATCCCTAGTGGTAACCGTCCACCTAAATGCAACTCCAATTATATTCCAGTATTGCCATCTGGCTGGACAAAAGAATCATAAGGTAGACTCTTCCACTGTTTATTTTATCCAAACTTTCCTTTACAAATGAGGGTCTTGGCTTATAAAGAAAGATTTATACAACAAATTCGATCTGAACAATCAGACTAGCTTCTAAAGACCCTTCAATCTACTTCCTCAAGCATTAGAAAACCGCATCCAAATCAAGGTTCCACCAGATAATCACAAGAAAAATTGGTAAAGACATTGTCAGGTTTCATCTGGATCAGTTGTGTGCATGTTTATACAACCTGAACTTACAGGAATATGTGGCATAAAGGAAAGAGTGTGGACTTTGGAGTCAGACAGATTTCGGATCAAGTTCCTGCTTCTGTCACTTATTACCTGTTAAACTCAGACTCCAAACACATAATTTTAGCTTCACAATACTCATCAGGAAAAAAGAAAAAGAATAATTGTACAATCTACCTTATGAAGTGGGTATGGGGAATAAGTGAGAGCAGGAAAGGACCAAATACAATACCTGCCACATAAAGGATGATAATTATTATTGTTATTATTATTATTATTAATTTTTGAAATGGAGTCTCACTCTGTCACCCGGGTGAGAGTGCAGTGGCGCGATTTCAGTTCACTGCAACCTCCGCCTCCAGGGTTCAAGGGATTCTCATATCTCAGCCTCCCAAGTAGCTGGGACTACATGTGCCCACCACCACCCCCGGCTAATTTTTTATATTTTTAGTAGAGACAGGGTTTCGCAATGTTGGCCAGGCTGGTTTCAAACTCCTGACCTCAGCTGATCCCCTCAGCCCGCCTCAGCCTCCCAAAGTGCTGGGATTACAGGCATGAGCCATCGTGCCTGGCCTATTACTGTTATTTTTATCCTGTCTTCTGTTTTGCAGTGTAACTTAGATCAGAATAAGGAGCCCATCTCCTATGTTCTACCTCTTTAAAAGAGTATTTAATAAATATCTTTAATAAACTAGTAGTGTTGGCTGACAAAGTCTCTGATGAGATGAAGAATGATATGTTTATTTTTCCCCCACAAAGCCTTTAAAAAGCAACTGAGAAAAAGGTGTTCCTTCCAGCAATAATTATAAAATAAGTGGCAATTATTCTACTGAATAACTAGAGGAACAAATGCAAATCCTGTGTGTTTGCATTTTAAACCATTAAGTATGGTGATGATCAAATTAAATAAAAATAACATAAGGCATAAAGGCCATATCTTTTAAAAGAAATAACCATTTTAGAGGCTTTTTAAATTCCTCCCCTCCTTAAGCCTGCAAATAAGAATTTTAAAAATCTTTTTGTAATAACTACTGTCATTTTTGCATGCTGAAATAACATTTGGGCAGATGATGCAGGATTTCCGAATGCAGGAATTCTGCGGGGCAGGGCTGCAGAAACCAGAATGGAGGGTTGACAGTGGAAATAAAATCTCTGCGTTAACAGCGCCACTGGGGCTAAATGAAAATGGTCTTCCAGAACTTGATTAAAACTAAATTGAAAAAGAACATATTTGGCTAATATTACATTAGACTAAAATATAGAAATGAACCCTAATACTCTCAAAATCTAATAAGAAAAAGCCATCTCAATTTCCAAACTTTCAAAGCATCTTCTTTAAATGCATCACAGATCAATTTACATGGTACTTTTGTCAATAAGCAAAACCAAATCATGGGTTCCAATTGGCTTATATTGGAAAGTGTAAGAGCAAATGCTAGAAAATGCAATTACTGCAAACAAACTCCATTTTCTTCCCTCTGAAGGGAATTTCGGGGAATATTTTATTGCCATCAAATAATATTTCTGAAGGCATCAATACACAGTTCTATTCTCCTTTCTGAATCCCCACTCACTGTATAATCTAATCCACTCTACAGAATATCCTGAAATTTAGAGAAGTGCCTACGAAAGGGGATATTACCTTGCACACACATCCTATGTCAATTTTAATAATATCCACGCTGGACAGGAAGCTGCATAGAGCAAAATTTAGGAGCCAGTAAAATTGATTCTTCCCATTTTATAACTCAAAATTTGAGTGAAGCATTTCAAGTACAATATTTACAAAGAAACCCCTCAGAGAAGGTTATTTTGATCAATAGTGGCAGTGACAATATAGAGGGAATGGAGACCATATTCATTTCCTTTTCCATTCTGCTTTCTCCACCCCTCAATGGGCAACATTTACTACTATAAGAGCTACCCTGAATCAGAGCCACTAAGACTTCCTGGGGGGTGTGAAATCATGAAGTCTCCTTTGGATAATGTTTTGGTTCCACTGGAACACATTTCCAATAGTCTCCGATATTTCTTTGGCAATGCTTTTATGGCTTTATCCCACAAGCCTCCCGCTGGTATGAAGCAGTAAAAAGTACGTAGTATAATTCCTCAGGAAGAAAGGATTTCTGGAAATTCCATCATGGCCCTTGGTACCCAAGGTTCCAAGAAGCAGAATTGGAGGTCTATTTTACTTTCTACATTTTCATTCCTTACTCATGGGTTTTCCAATTTCTAGAGATCTAGGCCTCAGCATCTTAAAATTTATCAAGAGATAAATTTACACTGTCTTCCTAAATCTGTGTTTTCTCCTAATTAGTATAATTAAGGCACAAAGTATTCCATAAAGTTCTTCCTTAAATAATTTGAATTAAGTATTTTAAGGAATTCAGGTAATCGGAACACAGTTGGAGAGCATACTCTGTCTGCTGAACGTTGTTCCAAAGCAAGACACAAAAATAAATACATAAAAAGGTGTTTGGCATGACAGTAAAATGAAAAAATTTAAAAAATGTGTTTGTTCTATGAGGGTCTTTGTTCCTAGACATGTGAAGTCAGGTAAATGCATACTACATTTGCCTTAAATTGTTCATTAAAAAACATGTAAATTTCTCTCCCTCCTCATACATATGCATACACTCTGTCAAAGAGCAGATTTCCCCTACTTTTTGGTTTGCTTCTTTTATGGGCTGAATTGTGTTCCCCCAAAATGCATAGACCAAACCTGCTAGTAGCCTCCACAACTGTGAGAAAATAAATGTCTGTTGTTTAAACCACATAGTCTGTGTTTCCATGGTTGACAGCCCTAGCAAAGTAATACCCTTCCTAGAAGGCTGCCTTGGCTTAATCCTTCCTACACTAAAGCTGGGTGATCTCATCAAAATACAAATCTGATCATATACACTCCCTCCACACACTTAAACACTCACCCAACTTAACATCTTCCCAGATTCTCTATTATTGCCCACAGACAAAGGGCCAAACGTTCTGTGGTATGGTGTGTAGAACTCTCTGTGCCCTGCCAGCCACTTCCCCACTCATATCTGGAGGTCTGAGCTTGCCAAGTGCTTGCAGTTCACAGAATGAGGATTTGTCTAACGAGTTCTCTTTCTGCCACATGACTATGGACCTCAGGAGGGTTCGAACTATATTCTATTCATCTTTGCATTCCCAGAAGGCCTCAATCATTACTTATCAAATAGATGAATGAATGAAGAAATAATTCTATATTGCCTGAGAATCATGTGGATATGATTAGCGAAGACCTCAATTTTGGCTACAAAATGGCCTTTAAGTGTTATAAGTCCTATTTTTATTTTATTCAAGGATGACACCAATTATATACATCACAAAGTATACTGTTAATTTGCTATTAATAAACTAAATCTGATTTTTAAAATCTGTTATACAGGGGCTTTTTTTACTGGGAAAGGCAAAAGAGGGCAAAGAAGTTGGCCCACCTGTAGTAAGGGCTCAATTTTGTTGAATGAGTGAACAAATAAATGGATGAATAAATGAATAAATGAACTATATACATGACACAAATAATGTTACAATTTCAAAAGAGAAGGGAATTATTGCTGCATGGTTGACACTATGCACTTAAAGATTTTTCCAGCCTTTGTTCCCGGTAGCTCAGAGGAGTAATCAATAGATGGAGTTAATGGAATAGTCATTCATTATTTGAGGAAGGTGCCTGTATTTCTTCATTGTATCCCTTCATCTGAAAGTTTTCACCCCTAGGCCTCTCAGGAAAATCACTGCTGTTTTGACAGCTGGCTTTGCAGAGGCCACTCTTTATAAATGAGCCTACTGCCTAGGCCCAAACAGGACACGTGTGTGCATCTTCTCAGGCCCCCAAGTCACTGGGTCAGATGAAAGAATCCATGCTAATTTATGTGCAAGGCCAGTTCTATCCTTTTGCTTCCAACAGAAAATCAAGGGACAGCAGGGTGCTCCTGACCTTTTATCCTTTAATTCCAGGCTTACCAAAATTCCAACCTAGCAGAGTCCTCAGAGATTTGAATCATTCCTTCCATGGAATGGGAAACTAAGACCTAGCAAGGCTAAAATGACTCCTCCAAGGTCACCCAATGACTTAGTTGCAATTCAGAACTTCTGATTTTGCAGACCAATCCTCTCCTTCTCCACCATATCACATAATCACCGGGTCAGAGATTTAAATGATTCACTTTGTAGATCAGAATGTTTAGGTTCAGAGAAGCTAAGAAGTTTTTCTAAAGACTGTGCCTACAATCATGAATCCTGGGTCCTAACATTCATCTGCCACTACCAGCAAGTATCATGCAGTAACACCCAAGACATATAGTCACTCATTTCTTCTTATTTCATAGACACAGAGGACTAATCAAATTTCATTGTTAAGATACTCTTTTGTTTTTAACCTGTACTATCACGGTTTAAGGCCATTTTTTTTTCAGTTGACTCATGGAAAGCATCTATTTAGCCATCTTAAACATGAGCTTAAGCCAGGGAGTAATTTAAGATGATAGAAATTATCTTTCTGTGTCTAGCTACTGTTCTTCCAAGCTTTTCTTCTGTCTCTGACACTATCACTGAGTTACCTTTAATGAAACTCAATGGTAAAGTTCTTCCATGATACTAACATCACAACTTTTACTTTTATTTTCATCAATAACTAAGGGGCTACATTTGCTTATCCTCAGCCAATACAGCACCTCTTTTTCATATCAATACCACCAAGGTGGTTTCTCAAGGTTGAGAGCAAAAGATTTTCTAGATTGGTATCTTTTTATAATATGTAGGCTCATCTCTAGCTTAGTATTTCATTTCTACATGTCTCTAACATGCCAGCTTTTGTTTTTCACTAAGATTATTTTCCTCAGAGTGGAAGCTAAGGCTCAGATCATTGACTCTTAAATGGTGAAAATGAAGAGTGACTTTCTCTGAAAACGGCTACTTTTATTTATTTTTTAAAATTGAATTACTTTGGAGCGTTCTGACCGGAAACTGGAGATTAGATACACTGGTTTAAAAAGAAGGTATTTTTGCAGGGCTTAACTTAATTCTCCAAAACTGAGAACTCCAACCTCTTCTATTCAAACCCATCCAAAGCTTGTAAAGTTGATCCCTTACTAGGAAAGTGTGGCCAGATTTCAGTTCTTCAGGTTAAACTGTTTTTACTTTTTAACTCTGTCATGTGGCATTTCACTTTCAACCCCACATTCTCAGATTCACCCACTTTGTGGTTTAACTCTCTCTTCCCTCACTTTTCTTTATGTTTTGGCTCATTTCAAGGGTCTTGCAAAGTCAGGTCTCAACCTAATTTTCGAATCCTGTAGCATTGGATAAAAGAAATCCCATTAGATTCCATTAAATCCCACTAAGCTTCTGACTCTCTCAAAAGTCAGGATGAGATTTGATAATGAAATAGGGCCCCAGAATGCCATGAAATGACCACAGTCTTTCTACAACCTCCAAGAAATATTCCCTGGGGTCCTAGGATGTGACTGGCAGTATGATGGGGCTGGCTGGGAATATAATAATGCAGCAAACAGAACAGGGTCTCTGGCCTTATGGAACTTATATTCAGGTGGGAGCAACAGATAATAAAGAAGTAAATAACCTATCAACATAACTCAGATTATAACTGCAAGGAAGAGAATTAGCAGGTCCTATGAAAGAGAGTAACAGAGAAAATTACCAAGATATGGCAATCCAGGAAGGTGTCTTTGAGGGGGATAAGTCAATATTTTCTGTCTGTCTAGCCCTTTTTCAACGAACAGTAAAGATAGCTAAGAAATAAACTTCCTTGATTATGTACGGCACAATGTAAGAAGGCAGGAAATACATGCATGCATGCACACCACATGTGCACGTGCACACACACACACACCCCAGAGATGTTTAGAACAGTATAGCAAGCACATAGTTCCTTGTAAATCTCAATTTTCATTAGAACGCTCAGTGCAATCATCTATAGTTGATTAGCTGACAATTAATTAGACAATATTTTTTAAAAATCTACCCTTGTGATGAAAATATTTTCTAAAATATTTAATTTTCTACCTTCAGAAGGCAAGCTACTAATGGTCTAATGTTGAAGCAACTTTGCGGAGATTAAAATGCAATCCATTAGCAAGATTGGGCTAAATGTGTGTATACTCTGAACGTCAATTACTGTTGTTGTCCTTGTGGTTATTGTCTGGGTGTGGTTTGGAATAGTTCAACAAAGCTAGCATATTTCTTTATTTTCTTAGGCTCTATTTTTGTCTCCTTAAAAATTCTCATTATTATAGGGAATTGGACTCTGGGGAGTTGAGATGCGCCACAACACAATGACTTCACTGAGGAGACACCAAATAGGCAGTAGTAACGGTGTCCTATGAGAACTCTATTGTCATTGGGCTTCTAGAAGTCCTGAGAGGGAAGATGTCCTCATGACTAGGGCCATGCACCTTGGTTCCAGGGTCCCCTTCCAGGGTCATTCTACTTGGCCACCATTGACTTTCCATATCTTGTTCATGTGACCTCAGACATTCAGTGGCCTTGATGGGATTTTTCCCTCGGCTCTGCCAAGATGGCCCAGATAATGACATTAGGAAGCCATGGCACCTAATGTGTCTTGGCCCAGAAACAGATCATTTCTCGTTGCATGCTGGGGCAAGTGGGGTCAAGGGAAAACTTTGTTCAAAGAAAAGTTTATGAAGAAGTTTGAATTTACAAAACAAACAAACAAAAAAACTGAAATTAGGTCTGCTCTTGTTGTGGGGGGAAGGAGGGAGGGATAAAGTTTTACCCCACAACACCACATTTCTAGCCCCTCAGGGCCCTTGGAAAAATCACTGCCCCAGAACCGGGATTGTACAAACCCTTTAACGATTATAAAGCCTGAGATAGTCACTTTAGGCCAGTAGTTCCCAAACCCGTTTGATCTTCCAAATTATGTACAAGTTAAAAAGTAAATCATGGCTGGGTGCAGTGGCTCACGCCTATAATCCCAGCACTTTGGAAGGTGGAGGCGGGCTGATCACCCAAGGTCAGGAGTTCAAGACCAGCCTGGTCAATATGGTGAAAACTCGTCTCTACTAAAAATACAAAAATTAGCCAAATGTGGTGGTGTACACCTGTGATCGCAGCTACTCGGGAGGCTGAGGTGGAAGAATAGCTTGAATCGGGGGGCAGAGTTGCGCTGACCCAAGATCACGCCACTGCACTCTACTGTGCTCTAGTTTGGGACAACAGAGGGAGACTCTGTCTCAAAAGAAAAAAAAAAAAGTAAATCAGTTTCCAGGCTTTATCCTGAAAGATTCTGTTCTCTAGGTCTGAGTGGGCCATGACCTTAAAAAAAAACATATTCTTCCATTTTTTCTTTGCATCTCTAATGAGAGACAAGATCTCAGTGACCAGCATTACCCTAGCAAGGAGGGATAATGGGGGCCTCCTGCCCTACTTTTATTCTAGTCCAGAGACAGGAGTCCTCAGTCCACCCATGGTTAAGCCTAGTTCCTCTATAAAGGGAAATGAGCTCAAAACCATTAAAATAATACAGATGACTGTTTCTCTTTCTCTTTTTTGGTCAGGCCTTGTCTTCTGTGCACATCTTTGTTTCAAGAGGTCTAGCCAGGGATTCTTGCTACACTCTACCAGTGGGCTCAGATATCAACCAAGTGTCTTTCCATCTCTTCGTGGCCAATTGATGGTGACAGATAATTAGCTTGAATTGTTAAAAGTATAGTTCCTATGGTATCTTCAGAATCTCAATATGCCAAATACGTGATCTTCAGGAAGTAAACTATTCAACTGTAGATGGATAAGACAGAAGGTTAAACTGCTCCAAACAGCCATGAAACATAACAGGTGATGATAGGTTAAGTCTCTCAGAACTTTGGAATCTGACCACATAACAGGAACCTGTAATCTTCTCTTCTGAGATCATTTCTATGGGAAAGGGACACAGGTGGCTAGAAGTCTGTCCTATACATGGATCCTGGTATAACATGGACAAAAGAGGAAACAAAAGAATGAAAGAAAAGAGAACAAGGAACATAAAAAAAGGAAACAAGAAAAGTAAAGATTTCAGGATGAAAATAGGAAACAAGATATTGAAACAAGGAAACAAGGCATGATATTTTAAAATGCTACCCAAGCCTATCTCAGTCACTGGCCAAGCCTCACTACAGTGCTGTCTCCTGCCATACCCAAGGGACTCCATTCTAGGAAGACCATAGGCTACTTTCCTCAAGGTGCCATGCAAAGATACTTCATTATGAGACTCATTAAGCAGATGCTATTGATGGCACATTCAAATCTTCACCCCACCTTTCCTCAATAGCACAGCCCCCAGTTTTATTCATGTATTCATCTTCCCCTGGGAAGCCTGTGCTCCAGAAAGGTAAACTTATTCATAGACCCAGGTGAGGGTATCTTGATTAGTTAGTACATCTATTTCCCTTGCCAATGACTGGTTTAAGGAGGTGCGGTCACCCAATCCTGGCCAGCGAAACATGAAGAAAAGTCTGTGGATGGGCTTCAAGGAAATGGTCATCACCTATACAAAGAGACATACTGGAAGGAATGACCTTGTTTTTCCAATGAACACTGTCATTACTTCATGCTATACCTGGAACTTCGGCAGCAGTCATTCTCAAACCTTTGGGACAAAGCCACCATGTAAGAGGAATACTGAAAGAACCCGAGTTCCTGGTATCATCACTGAGCCCCTGAATTACCAGATGCTGAAAACTGCTTTGTGCCTGGACATTTTTTTTTAATGAGAGACTAAATTCCTTGTTTC